>NC_000006.12:11120606-11272121 GCF_000001405.40 Homo sapiens | reverse complement strand
AGGAGCAGAGGGAGAGAGTCCTCTGAGTTGGCACACGAGTTCTGCACCGGGCTGTCCTTTGATATGACAGCTCTCTTCTGTGGTGGGGCCACCTAAGAAGTGCTTGGGAAAATATCTTGATAGGAGAACTAGACGGAAACATGCTTTCAGAGAAGGGATGTGTCTTGTTGCTTATTGTGGTTTTTCAATACATGAGCCTAGTTTACATAGCAGGGGCCCAAATGCAGCTCTGTATAATATTGTCATACTTCAGCTATGTGCGTGTTTATCATTTCTTTACCAACAACAGCTGGAGAAAATGGCTGAGATTGGAGAGGAGGGAGCAGAGGTAGAGAGGAAGTCAAAACCTTGGAATGGATGACATACCACTTCCCCAATGAATGAAGCTGCAGATTCAGCCACATGTAGTTGATGTCGCCATGTCAAGACTGCATTTTTCCTTCCAAACACAGAAGTATGGGGTAAACTTAATGCAGGACTATGAAGATGAAGCCATTGAGGCCCAAGACTTTATCTTGATTTCTTCAATTCCTTGGATATGTTTACTCCCTCCCCACACTGGGCCCTTGTAGCTGCTTAGACTGAACCTACTGGCCCTTCTCTTGCTGGAAAGTTGCCCTCCAAGAAGTGCAAGAGCTCAGATTGCACCTGCTAACTGTTAAGACCAGACTTGGCCAGGCTACCAGATCTTTCTGCAACAAGGCCAGCTTCACACTGCCTGAGCAGACCTTTCTGTTCTGCCAAAGGCAGCTGAAGCAGGGAAAATGGATCAGCAAAGGGATCTGGGCCAGGCGCAGTGGCTCATTTCTCTAACCTCAGCACTTTGAGAGGCCAAGGTGGGAGGATCACTTGAGGCCAGGAGTTCAAGACCAGCCTGGGCAACAAAATGAGACCGCATTTCTACAAAACAATAAGGTTAAAAAAAATTAATCAGGTGTGGTGGCAACTGTGGTGCCAACTCTTGAGACACTAAATCGGGAGGATCACTTGAGCCCAGGAGATGGAGGCTGGAGTGAGCTATGATAGCACCACTGTATTCCAGCCTGGAAGATAGAGTGAGACCCTGTCTCAAAAAAAGTAAATAAAGGAATCTGAACTTGAAGAATGGGCCAAAAAAGAGTGATACTTGACTGCGGTTCCTCTTTGCCTGTGCCGTCACCTGGGATTGGAATTCTGCATTTCCCACCCCCAATTCCCTTCTCCAGTCATCTAACTCCTCTGCTTCCTCCAATACTCAGCTAAGGCATTACCTCCTCCTAGAAGCCTTCCCTGAAATCCTCAAGCAGTTCTCTTTCTTTGACTTCCCTCTTTGGAGCCTCAACTGTCTCTTTGGGTTTGTCTGTCCTGCTAGACTGAACGTAAATAACTAATGAGGGTATCTGCATGGAAAGAAACAGACCCTTCTAAGTGCTGTGTTAAGTAACTTCACTGAACCAGATGAGAGCATTAGAGCAGCTGCTTTCTAGGGTTTTGCCAGCTCCTGTATGCGGACGTGAGGCTGCTGGGGATGTTGCTATTAGTGATAAAGTTAAGGGTCCAAGAGGTTCTTTGCTTCACGACTACGTCATTGGAGGCTGATAAGCCATGGCCAAGTGTGTTCAAGGTCTCCAGCTGTCATAAAAGTGTCTGCTTGTTTATTTTAGGTAGATAAGTGTTGCTATTATTCCTGGGATGGTAGGAAAAGCCGGGGGCAAGAAATCACTCTGTGAAGATATATTGAGATCCCTGGAACATTTAAAAAAAAAAAAAAAAAAGGTTGAGGGGAGGGAGAGAAACCACATAGCCTGCATTTGGTGATACTGTAATTCTAGCTCCCTTTAATTACAGTTAATCACTACTTACTATTTTGTAATCTAAGGTAATGAACACTGTAGCTTTGCTTGCTAATTGAAGTTGACAGAATGCGAGAAAGCGCCCTATGGCAAACCCCTTTCATCAGGAGAGTGTTTTATCTTTGTTTATCAACAAGAGAGTGGATTTTTTGTTTGTTTATTTTAAGGAGTCACACTCTGTTGCCCAGACTGGAGTGCAGTGATGCGATCTCGGCTCACTGCAACCTCTGCCTCCTGGGTTCAAGCAATTCTTCTGCCTCAGCCTCCAGAATAGCTGAGAGATTATAGGCACGCACCACCACACCCGGCTAATTTTTGTACTTTTAGCAGAGTCAGGGTTTCTCCATGTTGGCCAGGCTGTGCTACAACTCCTGACCTCAGGTGATCCACCCGCCTTGGCCTTCCAAAGTGCTAGGATTCAGGCATGAGCCACCGCATCCGCCCAAGAGTGTTTGTTTGTTTGTTTGTTTGTTTGTTTTTTAATGGTTTACTCTAGGTTTAATTCAGAGGAAGTAAGAGATTATTCTGCAGAACACCCTTGGGTATTTAACCTGGCACAACTCAATTAATAAGTGATCCATTTTACTATTACAAACTAAATTTATCTTTGGAAATAATGACAGACCGAAACAACCCAGAAACTACATATATCTATTTTGTATGAATTAAAAAGGAAAGAAATCACCAGAAAGAAAAAAAAAGAGTTATTTAATTGAGTGCATGGCCCCATAAGGGCAATTGGAAACCTGTATTTAAGTTTGTATGCAATTTTGTGTATGCATTTTCTGGAAAGAAAAGTCATACTTTATTCAGATACCCAAGGAGGTCTGTGATATCCCCTCTGCCAATCTCAACTTAGATATTAGTGTTTAGTGAATGAAATAGTCCATAAACTAGATTGACTATAAATCTGGTAATAATGTTGTAAAATAAAGGTTTTCCACGCTCTACAAAAGAAAACCAAAACAAATAGCATAGCTATAGTTCTCTCAATCCTCATCCCCAAATTCTCTGCAGCTCCCTAAATAGCCTAAGACACCAGAGAAAGTCAGAAATTTATTGTCACAGCAGCTAGAATGACCTGTCACCTAACCAGACAAAGTCCAGAGCAGAACTGAAGGAGCAGAAGTTCTTAGAAGGTTTACCTTGCACTGCCATCACTCACTTCCAGCCCAAAACCTTTAACAGGTACTTTGTTTGTAGTGAATGGCTTAACTTCACTGAATTGCAGTTAACCTCAAACGTTTGGGTTTTTTGTTAAATGTTTTAAGACGAGAGGAAAATAGCACTTTTACGTAATAAGAAATTTCAGATACTTGACCTCTCTAAGTTCACAAATTCCCATTTTAATTTTCATTTTTACTGAAATTTCTTACAGAGAAGTAAAATCCCTCTTCCTAATTTCAAGCTGATTTAAATACCTCTGAAACCAGGTTAAAACCTAGGATATGATATAGTTCTCCCATTTGGGCCAGTTGAAATAAATATAAATTTAGCCCTTTTTCCCCAAATATTGGTTGTGTGTGTGTGTGTGTGTGTGTGTCTGTGTGTGTGTGTGTGTGTGATGGAGCTTCGTTCTTGTTGCCCAGGCTGGAGTGCAGTGGCCCAATCTCGGCTCACTGCAACCTCCGCCTCCTGGGTTCAAGTGATTCTCCTGCCTCAGCCTCCCAAGTAGCTGGGATTACAGGTGCCTGCCATCACGCCAGGCTAATTTTTGTATTTTTAGTAGAGACAGGGTTTCACCATGGTGGCCAGGCTGGTCTCAAACTCCTGACCTCAGGTGATCTGCCCGCTTCGGCCTCCCAAAGTGCTGGGATTACAGGCACGAGCCACTGCACCCAGCTGGTAAATTCTTTATTATCATTAAAAGCCAACAATTTTGACTCAGTCTTATTCTATATATCTGTTCTTTCATTCTTCTTGTATTTCAATGAATGCTTCTATAAGTATACTGACTTCAGCCAGGAGTGGTGGCTCCCGCCTGTAATCCCAGCACTTTGGGAGGCCAAGACAAGATCACTTGAGCCCAGGAATTTGAGACCAGCCTAGGTAACATGGCGAAACCCCGACTCTATTAAAAAGCAATACAAAAGTTATGCAGTCTCGGTGGCGCATGCCTGTAGTCCCAGCTACTAGGGAGAGTAAGGAGGGAGAATCGCCTGAGCCTGGGCAGTTGAGGCTGCAGCAAGCCGAGATCGCGCCACTGCACTCCAGCCTGGGCGACAGAGTGGGGCCCTGTCTGAAACAAAATAAAAGTATATTATAGATGCCGTTTTTACCTTGACTCACTGACATCCAGTTTCAGAGCCAGCAAAGCTGAGGCCCAACTCTGCTGTGGTCTAAATCTGTTGTAGGGTGAAGCCTGAGGGTCAGTTTGGTGCCCCCTTTTACTTTTCTCTACTTAAATTCAATCTATTCTTACGGCATAATACTTAGAAATAAACTTTCTATTATAAGCCTTAGATATAATATTCAAAGGTAATTAGTTTATTGGAGAACTGGAGAAAGGCCATTTTTTAAACAGTTTATTGGAGAACTGGAGAAAGGCCATTTTTCTCCCCCAGACAAGACCCGTATCTCCACAGGCATTGACAATAGCTTCCTAATTTTTTTTTCTTACTAGCTGATTAGTGCTATGTCTAATGAATTGCCCATACCCTTGTTCCCTAGGATTGTTGTTGAAAATATATGCAGCAATCAGCATATGTATTTAGTTGAAAACCAATGTCTCCAACAGCCTTAAAAGCCCAGCTTTCTCTTCTAATATCAAAATATTCTATTTTACTAATAAACCATTTCTTAAGCCATGTAAAATAAAGTCTAAGTACAAATCTTAAGGCATTATGAAAAGATACTTGGGAACTACATCCCTGCAGCCAAGGAAGTGGTGGTTTTTTTTTTTTTTTCAAAGACATCTGACCTTATCAAAGCTTCAGACCAAGAATTCAGTTCATCAGTTCATCTGCTATCTAATAAGCACAAGAGCCATTTGTCCTTCACATGATAAGGTCATGGTACATTACAAGCCACTTGCAGGTTTTGTTTTCTTGAAAGGACACATTTGCAGGGAGCACTGCCAGAGAGAAACGACTGGCTGAAATCAAATAGTCGACATCAAGGGATACCTATTTCAGAAAAAGCGATTGAAGGCAGCAGCCAGAAATGCTGAGATTTTCATATGAGGGATGTTTGTAATCATAAGCCAGCAGGTAATTCCAGCATGTGCAGATTCTCTTTGACATGGTGCTATAAAAACTCTTGGGCTAAAAGCAAAATCTCTACCTGACAGAAGCAATCCTCACTCCCATCTATTGATACTTTGCTCCTGATTCACAGCAATAAATGGTCCTTAAAGTGAATGAGAGGAGGGTAATTCATTCCCTACACACACACCAAGATGAGCCCAGTCTTCTTGCATTAACTTCTTGCTGAATGCAATTGATCCGGACCATTGGCTGGTTTTCCAGAGACTTCAAATAGCCTGACTTGGCTTGTTCAGCCAGTAGGGTTGAGATCAGAGACCCCTACATCAAGGTCACTGAAGGTACCATTGGAAACTACAACTATCCTGGCTTAGACTCAGACCACTGGTTACAACTTCCCATTCCTAGGTGACAAATATAAACCCATACAGTAGTTGAAGACTAAGGACCAATAAAAAGCAGAAAAGTTTTTTTTAATAATAATAAATACACCTGGCTAAAAATTCCAGTGGCCAGAAGGAATAAATTTAGCATCTTAGCTTTCGTTGCTAAAATAGGATCTGCTTCCAGGCTCACTCTTGTAAGGGAATTGTGTATATAATGGCTTCTTTTTCCAGAGTTTGGGGCAGGGTTTCTCAGCATCAGCACTATTAACACCTGGGGACAAATAATTATTTATTGTGGAGTTGCCCTGTGCATTGTAATACGTTTGGCAGCATCCCCAGATGCTACTAGATGCCAATAGCACTATGTCTCCCCCTCCCCCGAATCCACCCAAGTTTGACAATCCAAAATGTCTCCAGATATGGAAAAATGTTCCCTGGAGTAAGTGAGGGGGGAGGGGTGCAAAATCACCCACAGGTGAGAACCACTGCTTTAGGGCATTATTTGTTTATTAATTGTATAAATGTATGGGGTCCAAGAGCAAATTTGTTACATGCATAGATTGCACTGAGGACAAGTCAGGGCTTTAGCCTATCCATCACTTGAATAATATACATTGTACCCATTAAGTAATTTCTCTTGGTCCCCTCCCTTCCCACCCCCTCTCCCTTCCAAGTCTCCATTGTCAATCATTCTACTCTCTATGTCCATGCATACATGGTTTTTTTAGCTCCCACTTATGAGTGAGAACATGTGGTATTTGACTCTCTGTGTCTGGCTTGTTTCACTTAAGATAATGGCCTCAGTTCCATCCATTTTGCTGCAAAAGACATGATTTTATTCTTTTTTATGGCTGAAGAGTATTCCATTGCATTTATATACCACATTTTCTTTACCTAATCCTCCATTGATAGACACTTAAGTTTATCACATATCCTTCTTATTGTGAATAGTGCTGTGATAAACATGTAAATACAGTTATCTTTAGGGCATTATTTAATAAACACATTTCATCTGTACCAATGACACCTCTCCCCTGATTCCTTGCTCTCCAAAAGTACTTCCTTCCAAAAGAATTGCCTCCAAAAGAATTGCCTTTTCTTCTGTAAAAAGGTGACCAGTCTTAGTTTGAACAATTTTTCTGCCAATATTACTAGTCATAAGGACAATACATTAATTGATCCAATTGTTCTTTCAGGATAGAGAAAAGTGCTTCCATCCATACATGCTGGAAAACTTTAAGCATAGATTTATTGAAAGAACAAAATAAGTTAAAGTCCAGAAAATACTGTAGCAATATTCAAGTCATCGAGAAAACCAGAAAAAAATGAAAATTTAAAACTCATCTGAAATCTTCACCTGAAACCACACAGAAATAACCATTGCTGATATTTGGTGAGCGTTTTTCCACTTATCTCTCCTTGTCCATATAACAGATATAAAGCCTGGTAGACACAAAGAAGTTCTTCTGTGAAATAACCCAGGATTCATTATCCCGTAGTTTCATATTGACATTTAGAATAATGAGAGGATACTCATGCAATTTTAAACTTGAAGTATTTGATTTAATTTTCCTTGAATTAACAGATTAAAAAATCTGAAAACTGAAGAATCTGATGAACTTTGGACATTTCTTCACTGCTAGAGATATTAGTTCTTAAAAGGTCCCTATAATTTAAGAAAATGTGCAAAACCTATAGAGCTGGCTGGGAGCAGTGGCTTACGCCTGTAACCCCAGCACTTTGGGAAGGCAAGGCTAGAGGATCACTTGAGCCTAGGAGTTTGAGACCAGCCTGGGCAATACAGTAAGACCCCCATCTCTTAAAAAAGAAACAAACAAACAAACAGAAAAACTTAAAAGAGCTGAAGTTATTGTTATTTTTAAACTGTGCTTTTCACTGTTGACTCCTTGACAGGAAAGATGAGGAAGTCAGTTAACATATTTTTTTCAACCTCTTTTCTTCTCTTACCAGTATGATTAGTTATATTAAAATACTTACTTGTGACCTTTAAATTCTTTTTTTCAGCCTTACTCCCCAAATTGTTTGGTCTCAGTTCTGTTTTAAACGAATCCACAGCCTCTCAGTTTCTGAGTTCTTTATTTTGATTCATTTTTTATTTGGCTGGATTGGTTTTCAAGACACACTTTTTATTTGCAAAAAGAACCCATGGATGCTGTGTTCCTTGAGGTTTGATTCGTTCCTAAATATCTGCCTCCTGCTTTCTTACTCAAGGAACAACTGGGCTAGAGATTGAATTCTTGGGGACCCCTTCTCTTGCTCAATCTTTATAGACACCACTCCACTATCCCTGGTGGTTCCCCAAGCAGTGACCTATGAGCGCGGGATGCTGGGGCATGTGGTTCCTCACAGAGCCCTGATTCTTCCTCTGGGGGCGCCATCTCACTCAGACTGCAGCCTGGGCATGCTCCTGTCACCTCGAGGAGGTGATGGGAGTCCAGCTTTTGTTGGGCCCCCTCTCGCCACTGCCCAGCCCCTGGGCTCAATCTGCATTTCCAGTGGGGAGGTAGCCGGTTGCAAAGCCCCTTCTCCATCTACAAGAATGGCAGCAGAGGCTGACCCTCCTTCCTTGCCCCAGACCTGCCTTCCACATCCGGGGAACTCTGATGGTTGCCGTTTCCCTTCTTCCATGAAGGAGGCTCTACCACTGTCCCTATTTTAAAGATGAGGACACTGAGACATAGAGGAATTAAGGAATATGCCCGTGTTCAGATAGCTAATAAGCTCAAGTCTAGACTTGAACCTAAGAAGACTAAGAGATGCTCTGATATCTACATGGATTATTGTGAGAGAAATGGTCTCTATCTTGACTAAGGTTTGCAAGGATGTAGGCTTACAGAAGCATACATTAAAATTTGGGTTAGGACTAAGAACAAACTTCCTTTCTTGAGAGCAACAGGGCTCAGTCTACCAAAAGAGGTTATAAGTACCCTGTGTAAATGTCCCAGACAAAAATGGCACCTATGCACATGTGACCTCATGGCACCTATCCACGTGTGACACCCTTCCAGCCAACCAAACAATGACCTCATGATGTCAAAGGCCAGGAATGTGAATTGGGAAGGCGAAAATAACAGCTTGCTTTCACTTTCCAAGCACAAGCCAGCCAGCCCAAGACGTTTCTCTCTGCCATGTGCTCCCTGCAGTTCAAGAGGGCCATCCATGCGCCAGACAGATTAAACACTAAAGGAATTCTAGACGATCACTCCTGGGAGGGTTTTTTTCCACTACTTTCTAATCCAATGAAGCCTGGGCTGGCAAAGGCAGTTGAATTGAGAGTGGCTAAATATGCAGAGTCCTTGGAGGTTAGAATACAGTCTGTCTACCAAGAGAAGGCATTTTGCCTTCAGTCTGTCTGGATTTCTAATATCTACTGCAGACTATTAATCATGAAGGCCAGACTCTTGAACCTCTTTGAGTTGTTTCACATTTAATCAGAATCCTCCCCCTTACACACACAAAAAAGCTACAAAATCCTGCCTGGTTATCTGATTTAAATGAATTTTAACATTCAAACAATGGTTTATCTGGAACATATCCCCTGCATCGAACGTATATTTAATAGCTTTGAAATAAAGTCAAACAAAACCAAAAATGCAATTACTATGCATGTCATGAAATCATCAGAATTAAAAATTAGCCAAGGTCATATTGTTCATTTCCTTTAGATTTCCTGTTAAAACACTGGTTACCCCAGATTTTCACCATCAGGAAATGGGAAAAAAATTGAATAACTCATTTTCTATAAGACAATTTCCATCAAATTGTATTGGGTGAGAATTTGGCCCAGAATTTACACTTTAATGTATGATTTTGCATTTTAAATGTCATCTGATTTTATTTGTGATTTTCACATTAAGCAGATGTCATAATTTACCTGAATTCCATGAATAGCTCTGTTCATCCACATACCCATTTTCCATGTATTTAACTGAGCTTTAACTTATTTTATTCTTTTAATGAATGTATACTGTGTTTAACTCAGACTTTTCTATTTTGGCTTTCTGAGATGTGAGGATGGAAATGCTTTTCTCTAAGAACCCTATTCTGGGATAGGGAAGCCAAATTGGAAATGTGGAGCCACACTGATATACAGCTTCCAGAATAGTCATATTTCCCCGTTCCAACCACACATAAATTCCTAAACTTGCTTCACACAGAGAATCTGGGAAGTGAACAAAGCCTATGTTTTCCCTCTTCTACTCTCCAAAGTGTGGGTTGTGTGTTGGCACCTTAGGACAGGAAGGGAATTTAGACCGCATGCTCTTGATTGCACAGTCTGGGAGGGTATGGGGTGGTAAGGAGAGCAAATGTTCAGCTAGGCCAGTAGAATGTTGCCACCAATCTGTCACTAACGCAGCTGCCAAAATTTTCACATTGCCGAGAAAGTAAGTCTTTAAAGCAAAGGCTCTTTGTGCCTTCTTTTTGGAAGTTTCTTGCTAATTTCCTCCTCTGCTTCCCTGGCGATCTGAGAGCTAGAGCTTTTGTACCATCAACTCTCAGCAAATAGAAGCTGGGCCAGCAGGCTGCAAAGCAAAGGGTCTCATTAAACCACAGCCCTTTGCAAGTCAGGTCCGGGCACATGTTTGGCATCAATTTTCTACACTGGGGCATATTCCAAAATACATAAGGCTCTCAATTTTTCTGTTTCTTTAAAAGAAATTCTCCAAAGTCAGATAAAGTTAAGGAATTTGAAAGGTGTTTAAGGTGGAGGTTTCCACTAGGAATAATTATTCCAAGGAGCTGAGTTCCAAATTTGACATCCTCAGGGTAAGACGAGAATCTAACACATCATAGCAATAATGACTGTCTGGTGGTCTGCAAGCTTCACCGCTGGGCCGAAGTGCTCTTTCACTGCACACAGACTTTTAGTTGTTTGGGAATTTTAGCAGAGCAAAAACAAGGGGAAGAGAGAAAATAAGGTAAAAACAAGGTTCAAGTTGTCACAACAGCCATATATTCTGGATTTTCCATGATCCGCATCCATATAATCTCTCTGATTGTTCCCATAAAGGTAGTCATACTCACTAGAATTAGAAAAGTTAAAAGCATAAACTTGGTATAGTTTATAACAGGTAAGACACAACTCTATTGTTCTTTGAGAGCAATGATTGTGCCATATTTATCTTCGTGTTTCTAATGACTTGCACATGACAAAGAGCTCAATTTATGTTGAATGAATGAATTGAAACATAAATATGCTAATGAAAATCAACAGAAATATGGGAGGATAGTTATTGTATTAAGCATTATTGTTTTACCTCTATGACTGATTTTAACATACACTAAGAATGCAAAGACATAGGTTCTAATTGTGGTTCTGCAGAATACCAGGGAGAAAGTTACTTATCCTCCAAAGACTCAGTTTTGCCATATAGAAAATGGAGTTAATAACTTCCCTGACTTAGCTTATGTTATGGAGTTGTTATGTAAACCACCTGAGACACTGAATGTGAAAACGCTTGATAATCGGAAAAGATGCGTACCAATGTACATTTTCATCATTATCGTTATTATTACCAATCATCACGGCTCTGGTACTCAGGGATGCTCAGTCCTCTCAAATCTTGCAAAAAGAAAACTGCTGGGAGCCACAAAACATCTTGTGCCACATGTGAGCTTACTTTCCAAAATGGCTTCGTTTTTATAGTCATTAAAACACAACTCAAAACCTGTCATTCTTTGTCCCTAGTGAGCCAACCAGGACATGATCAAATGTGGAGAATTATGGAGCATGAATCCCAGGAAGAATTCTTTTACAACACACACACACACACACACACACACAGGCTCACACACGTGCTCACACATACATGCTCACACACAATATCACACATCCTTTCAGCACTGAGAATGGTTAATAGTAGGTGTGAAGACTCACCCACAGAAAACTGAGAAATAGTGTGTGACTATTTCTGTGACTAACACACTTTTTATATCATCTTCCTCTTCAATACCATCCTTACCCCAGATGTCCAGGATCTTCAAGTTACTTAGGACCCAGCATACATGTTGCTAAACTTCTACCACTTCTGTAAGTCATTTAATTCAAGCCCATTCACTCAATGCCCAGAACTGGAGTGACAACGGGTGGGATGAGAAGTCATCACCTTCTTCATCACCATCTTTGTGATCTTCATCATTTCATGAACACTTACTCTGTAGCTTTACATTCATCATCTCTGTCTATTGTGACAACATCTTATGAAATATATACTATTAACCCCATTTTGCAGATGGGCAAGTCGAGACTCAGAATGATTAATTTTCCCAAAGGCACACACCCTAATGTGACAGACTCTGGATTTGAAACCAATTCCACCTGATTCTAAAGACCATGTTTTTAACCACCTCACTGTAATGCTGAGTGTTCTTAATCACAGGAAATCTTTGGTGTGCTAGGACAGAGGTTTGCAAGGCCTTCCGGGAGCTTCTCAATGTACATTCTCTACTCTGTTTATTTTTGTCTGTATACCAACATATATTTTTGAACCCTTTTTTATATATGGCCAATGATGCTAGGCCTGGAAGAATATTAAAAACAATTATTTCTATAATGTAAGTGACTACCAGTTATTTAATTTCCGTTTTTTGGGTTATTTGTATTTTAAAAGAAAGGCTATATGCTATAAGCCAAGTGAATGAATCCCTAATGGTACGATTTCTGACACTGAGACTAGCAGATGGAGAAGGATCTTTGTTTCTGTGGTGGGGTGTGTGTCTGTGTGTGTGTGTGTGTGTGTGTGTTAAGGGCGCAGTCAAGCACTGCACTACTCGTACCATACCATGCAGACAACCATCTAATCTGATCTCTCAAAAGGTTTGACAGTATTGGCATCATTCTCAATATCCTCATCCTACACGTTAAAATTGCTAATTAATATTAGTATTTGGTTGCTTTATCTTAAAACAATACCTACCTCTGTTAATAGGAAAATTAGAAATTATATCTATTGTTCCTAAAGATACAATTTGTTTCTCTAACTCCAAGGGAAGTGAATGAATATGTTTCAGACTATACTTGTCTGTGTATTATTTGTTTTTGTAAGGTGGTTTTTTCTTTTGCTTCAAATTGAGAGCATACAAACAAAATTCCACTGTATAAGCAGTCAATTTTGGTAATAATAACACATGCCTAGAGCACTCAGATTAAATTATTACACATACTAATAAAATTATTCACAGTAGTACTCCTTGGTAATGTTGGTATTAGGGAACAGGATAGAACCCATCTTCAAAGTCAACCCTATTACTTCAAGCCTTTGCAGGGTCCTGCTGTTTCCAAGGATACAATCCAATGCTTAATTTACAGGAATCCGAAATCATTTGCTGTGTTAAAAACTTGAGATTAGCCCTTGCTGCCCCCTTCCAGGTTGGCCTTTGGAAGCGAAAGGTCTTTAAGCTTAAGTAAACTGGAGAATATTTCTGAGTAAGCAGGCTCCAGGTGGAGGGTACACTCCAAGATACCTTCACTTGCCAAAACAACACTCCCTGCAAGGTTATCAGCGAAAAGGCAGTAGAAAGAGCCCTCCTGCTGCCAGAAGGTCTTGTTTTGCAAGGCTTCTCAGCCTGCCTGCAGCCATTGGGTGAGGAGAGGAAAGGACACCTCACCTGGCAGAGCAGCACAAAGGTCAGGCATGTTTCCCTCCTGACCTGGAAGCTGGGTCCTGCTCCTTCACATGAACTGTCCAGGGCTTGGTCATATACCCAGGTCCCCCTCAGTCCTGCCCAGAGTGACTCCACTGGTCTCCCCAGAAAACACCAACAGCAGAGAGAAATGAAGTGTGTCTGTTTTCTGGTTTCATATTGCAGCTCCTCTTGCTCTTCTTAGGACAGAAATAACATCTGCAATGCCAGAGACCTGTGAAGTAATAAACAACCTTTCCCCCAGCTCTTGACAAGCATTACCTTGCTTTGAGGTGCAATCAGTTCTGACAAGTTTATGGCTTTGTGTCCTTCAACCCAATGGACATTACCCTCTGGGGGAGTTTAATGACCCCTCTCAGCTTCACACTCACTTGAAGGAAAGAGCTAGAAGTCAGTAATGATGTGTTATGACTTGCATGGCTTCAGGTAGTTCAGAACCTGCAACCTGTAGTTCAGATTACAGGAGAAGAACTCAGACGATAAATTGGCTTCCAAAGAAGGCCAAATAGAAAAAAAAAAGGCTTCTTCAGACCAATAGCTGAGTGACCTGAAATTTAAATGCAAAAAATGCATTAAAACCCACAAAACCACTTCCTTTAAAATTCTTGATACCAAACATGTTACAGCATTAAGTGAACCTTAATCTAAGCAAAATTCAGAGAAGAGCATTCACACCTTTGATAGAAGAGCCAGCCAGCCAGGGTGCTGGGGCTCAGCTCTTGAGAAAAATGTTGATGTAAAAGCCTTGGTGGCCTGGTTCAGCCCCTGAGCCTCCCTGGTAAGCACATGGCAGGCTCAGAACATCCATAACTGAATGCTCTGAGCCCTGTAAAAATGCAGTTACAATGGGAAATCAACTCTTAAGTATGCTATGGGATGCTGTGATAAAATTTGAGTTTCTCTACCTTCTGTTTGCACTTTGGTTCATTTAGAAAAGAGTCCATAATTGTGTGCTTCAAGAGTGCAATTCCATGGCTGTAACAGAATAGAGTCCTCTTTCTTCTGGCCTTTGCCTCTTTGGGGATATTCCAACTCTGTGGAAGGTGATCATTTGCGATTATGATCAGTTATTTATATTTGACTGTAAATGAAAACTTCAGAGTCAGTTTCAAAAAACAAGAGATGGACATAAGGACATGTGCTTATGAGTAGGGGACAAATAACTAGAGACAAGAAATAAAAAGAGACAAGATATGAGACAAGATAACCTTTGATGCCGTACTGCACACACACACACACACACACACACACACACACACAGAATCTACATTGTTTCTGTCACTCTGCGGGGCTGCTGGAAGGCAGAAATGAGAAGCCTCGGCCCTCATCTTGTTTAGAGTTTTGCCTGGGCCAGGCTCTTCTGCTGCATTGGAATTCAACTTTGCAAATCTCAGTGTTTCCAGGTTGACCTCGGGAGAAAGGGGACCCCAGAAAAAATTAGAACAAAAAGGAACAAGTAAGGAGCAGTGTCTAGAATGGGAACACTGACAAAAAGAAGCAAAGTCAGAACACATGGTCTATTTGGGGGGCTGTTAGACAGACCTGGACTAGGCTAATTCCAGGGTTGCCTCCATGTACTCACGGGCCCTCAGAAGGCACTCTTCCCTCTCTTCCCTCTCCAGATCCTTGTCTTCCCATTAGATCAATGAGGATGGAGGACTACACCAGGGACACCCAACTAGGGGCAATTTTGCCTCCCAGGGGTTATTTGCCAATGTGTAGAGATATTTTTGGCTGTCAAAACTGAAGGTGGTGGGTGCTACTGGCATCTAATGTGTGCAGGCCACGGCTGTTGTGAAACATCCTGAAATGCACAGGATACTCTCCAACAGCAAAGAATTATCCAGCCCAGAATGTCAATCATGCCAAAGTTGAGGAACCCTGGCTCCACCATTTGAAGGATCTGATGCAGGTGATCGATGGTCCCCCAGAAGAGTATTGGTCTGGGACCAAGAGTCCAATGGCCATACTTTACATTTTTCCAGGGCCTGAGTGCCAAAGTGACCTACAATCCTTATAAATGTTACCCTGTTTTCTGGCATTCATGAGCATTGGAGGTTGAAAAATGATTCTCTAAGAGAGGCTTGGCCTGCAGTCAAGTTGAAAGGTGAGTGAGAGTGGGTCAGCCTACAAATATGCCATCCACATGGGGCTGCTCTGAGTTTGCACAAAGGACAGAATGTCACCTAAATCAATTCACATCTACTGATACAAACAGCCTACTGCAAAGGCTCTATTGAATCCAGGGTTTGTAATAAGTATATCAGAATTCGACCGGGCAGGGTGGCTCACACCTGTAATCCCAGCACTTTGGGAGGTCAAAGCAGGAGAATCGCTTGAGGCCAGGAGTTTGAGACCAACCTGGGCAACATGGCGAAACCCTGTCTCTACAAAAACAAATATAAGAATTAGCCAAGCACGGTGGCACGCACCTGTAGTCCCAGCTACTCAGGAGGCTGAGGTGGGAGGATCACTTGAGCCGGAAGGTCCACACTCTAGCCTGGGTGACAGAGTGAGACCTGTCTCAAAAAAATAAATAAATAAAAATTAAATACTAATAAATTCTGTGAAAGAGATACCACCTACGCTTCTTGGTAATTGTTTGGTGAATACAGCCAACAAGAGCAGAGGCGCCTCTGTGGTGTTAGAGTGGGCTGGAGTGTTTCCACAAGTTTGCCAAATATTACAGAAATATCCTGCCCTCCTGCTGCACATACACCTGGCAGGAGAGGAACCAATGGGAGAAGGTCTCGCCGGGAAGATTCCAGCCAGATGGGGGCCCTGCCTTGGCAGGTGCTTGGCATGGGAAAGGTGGTTCTGAAGCACCAAGGCAGGTGGCTTGTGAATCTGCCTACATTCCCCTAACTCTCTGAGGCTTGAAATATCCCCTCAGGGCTCCAGAGAGTTGCTGTTGTTCAGTTATGATGCCCCATGCCCTACCAGCCTCTAGCAAAAACCATGCATAGTGACTTGGGAAATTCTTTTCACTTTGCTGGGCCAAGACCCAGATGCTCTGTGGGCATGCTGATGGGGGCCTAGTGGTGTTACTCCTGTATTCCTCCGTAGCAAAAAAATAGTATTAGGAGAGATACAGGGAGATCAGGAGAATACAGCGTCCCTTCAACTTCTGCCCAAATTTCTGCAGTAGCCTCCTAACCAGTTTCCTTATAGCTCTCTGGTTCCCTTCCAATCTCTCCCCTCCTATGCAGCCAGAGGGATTCCTTCACACTGAAAGCTAATTTGTTACACTCCTGCTTAAATACATAAAGTGATTCCATAGTGCTCAGGGATTAAGGGAAAAATCCTTAACAGATCTCAAAAGGCCTCGCATGGCTCCAGCGGCTATGTGGATCCATGCAAGGCCTTTTGGGGTCTGTTAAGGAATTTTCTGCCTCTCAAGCCTAACATCCCACCATGCGCCAAGCTTGCTTTCATTTCCTTGGATGCCCCAAGCTTCCTTCTGCCACGGGGCCTTCACACATGCTGTTTCAGCTACCTTAGATCTTCTCCTCCCAGGCCCCCACCACCTCTTGTCACCAGACTAATTCTATTCTCCTCAGTCCTTACCTCTCTCACAAGGCCCTGGCCAACCTCCCTCACCAGATCATGCCTCATACACCACCTATCATGGCAACGCGAATTTCTTTTACGTAGTTCTTTACAAAATTGCAGTTTTACATTAATTTATGCATTGGAATTCAATAAATATCTACTGAATAAACAAATGAATGAATGAATCACCCCCTTCTGGGGTGGAACAGAGAATCCCTCCGACCACACATTCTTACTTCCATCTCTTTGGTGGTTCTGTCCTCTCAGCATGGTTAGCTGTTGATTTGTATCTCTGCCCATAAGATTCTTCCTTTCTGGCCAATCCCATTCATCCACTCATTTCTCCATGAACCCTTCTCTCATCTCCTACTCCTCACAGAACTTATTTGTCTCACTCTATGAATCCTGTTGCATTTTCTCTATTTTTCCACACTTTGCCTTGAATAGCATCAGCTGTAGACATGCTAGTCTTCCCTTTGGGGCTCTGAACTCCTTGAGAAAAGAGACTCAACCCAACATATTGTTCTGCAAAGCAGCATGTACTTAATAAATATTTGTTGAACTGAAATACCACTTGTGAAAGCTCAGGTGATAGGAATAATCGCAGGTGGCAACTTTAAGATCACACCAAAACACCAATGCCACTTTCATTCCACCCACTCCGACTTCTAAGAGAGGATGTAGAATGTAGCTGGGAAGAGGGTCTCTCTCCATGGGGAGAGAGCAGCTAGAAATGCTGTGAGAGTTTTCTAATTAGCAGTAAGTTACCACCACCTTTGGGGCCCAGTGGGATTTCTCCTCTTGCTCCAGATGGCTGTCATGGCAGTAACTATTTCTCTGCATGTAAGATGGTCAGATTTAGCAAATAAAAATACAGGGTTTTAGGTACAGTTTACACTGTTTGGGTGACAGGTGCAGCAAAATCTCAGAAATCACCACCAAAGAATGTATTTATGTAACCAAAAACTACCTGTTCCCCAAAAATTATTGAAATAAAAGTTTAAAAATAGAAATATTTAATTTTTAAAAATACAGGGCTCCCAGTTATATTTAAGCTTCAGCTTCAGAAAAACAGCCAGGCTTGGTGGCTCACACCTGTAATCCCGGGAGGCTGAGGTGGGCAGATCATGAGGTTGGGAGTTCAAGACCAGCCTGGCCAATATGGCGAAACCCCATCTCTACTAAAAATACAAAAATTAGCCGGGCATGGTGGCACACACCTGTAATCCCAGCTACTCAGGAGTTTGAGGCAGAAGAATTGCTTGAGCCCAGGAGGCAGAGATTGCAGTGAGCTGAGATCATGCCACTGTACTCCAGCCTGGGTGACAGAGCGAGACTCCATCTCAGAAAAAAAAAAGAAAGAAAAGTTTCAGATAAACAACAAATACATTTTTGCACAAATATAACCCAAATATTTCATGGCATGTACTTCTACTAAAAAGTTGCTCATAGTTTATCTGAAATTCAAATGTAATTGGCCATCGTGTATTTTATCTGTAATTTCATGCTTTTAGCATAAGCTTGAAGATGCCATAATATTAATTGGTGGCTCCAAATGAAAATTCATTTAAAAAAAAATACCAGTACAAAATGACCAGACGTGTGCAACTCCTTCTCACTGTATCCTTGTTTGTCTGCCTGTCTATAATATCACTGCCTGAGTCATTATTGTCTTAGAGGGTGGGTGCTGGATCTATTTTATTCTTTTTATAGAATCCTGATGTTGCATTCACATATGCACTTAAAGTATATTTGTCTTGCTGCCTGTGATGTCCAGAAGAAGGAATGGACTTTGGTAATAGTTTTTATAATGTTCCCACAGAAGATTTAAATTCCAAAATGATACCATAGTTTCCCACACTTAAAATTTTACATTTCAAAAAACACCATAAAATTTAAACGTGGAAACTAGTTTTGAACATTTGAAATAAGTTAACATAAAAGTTCAGGTTTTCATTCCCATGCGGTGTGAGTTTGTCCTGGGGCACGGGGTTGTGCAGGGAAAGAAAAGGCAAATATTCTCCAGCAATTTTCCTGGAGATGTATGACTTTTCAAGCAAGAGGAAATAAAAGTGAAGAATGAGACATATCCCCGATCAAATTTTACCTTCAGAAATATTAACTGCTACAGTACACTTACTCCCCGCAACCTCAATGGAGGAGGCCAGATTCCTACAAGCGGGGAGGCCTTGTCTGATTTCATTATATCTTTTCCTCCTTTGCAATCCTGCAAAGTGATACTTTCTCTTTTTTATCAACATGGGTTGTAAGTTCAACGACTGCGCACATTCATGAAAGTGCCAAAGAGATGGGAACCTGTTAGGACTAAAATCCAAGCGTTTTCTTTTGACCGTACCCTGATCCTTGTCTAGATGTTCTTAAAAAACTATGACCTGACTTTTTTATGACTCAGATGTTTGTAAGACCCCTAGATCATTAAGACATATTTAAACATTCTCGTGCCCCTACTCCTCTCCCACAAGATAATGTTTTGTTCTTAGGCAACTGCCAGGAAAGCATTAAAAACATCTAGCACAAGCCCAATTTTCCCAAAAGAATGATTTCTTGTTTGAAGTTTAGGAGAAAAAAAAAATACATTCCTATCACTTCCATTTCTGTGTCTAATTTTTATTTATTTATTTTTAGAATATGTAAAGTATGTATTTTCTTAGAATAGTTAGGCCCTGGGGCATACAACCAATTTACTCACAAACAAACCCTATATTTAAGAGACAGAGTTGTTTTTTTTTTCTGGGAAAATGAAACTGCAGGCTAGGAATTCATTTCTGTCCTCTATTTGTCATTTTCAACTTTGATTAGGATAATAATGCTTTGCTTGTGCAGAAGGCTCTATATAACTAAATAGTGTAAGTGACATGGACCTAAGATGTCTATTTCCTACCAGCTCCTTTCTGCTCTCTACAGGGTTTCTTTGACCATGGAAGGGGGTGCTTCCAGGAGGCATGGGAGGTAGCTGTGGGCTGTGTTAATTTGTTTAAAGGATGGAGAGCCATAGAGAATTCTATTAACATAGATCTTGCTGAAGCATTCAAAATAAGCAGAGATAATACATGAGTTACTGTGAAATCGGGACGTGAGAGCTGGTTCCGATATTGCAATAGGAAACTACTATTCTTTTGCTTGACTGGCATCCTCTTAGACCCTCCAATAACTCTTCTCAATTTTTATGTTCATCTGTATTCTCAGCTCCCAGTGAGCCAGAAAGTTCATGACATGCTCAGGCTGGTAGAAAATGAGAATACCAGTCAGCTCTCCAGAGGGCTCTGCTGGCATAGCTAAGAGCCCCAGGACAGACATGAAATGAAGATCTGGCTGAGAGAGCACTACAGCGCCCAGCTAGAAGATATTAACACAAGCTCTGATTCACATGGGACAGCAAAATATAATCTGTGTGTGACAGGAATCGACACAGCCTTCAACCCTGAGGTGGAGCGAAAGCACCCAGATATGCTTTTGCATTGATGGGAAGTGCAAGCAGAAGGTGAGGGGAGAATTTTGCCCATCACTCACCATCCCCCCCCACACACACATACATAGAGTCATGCCAAAGCATGAAGCAGCACAGAATCCCCAGCATTCAGCCATCCCTGGCACTGAGCCACAGAGAAATTAGTCAAAGGCTCTGAGGGCAGCTAGAGCACAAAGGGTCATTTGTTTTTAGAAACACCAGAAAAAGGACAATATTCTCCAGCTAAACCTTGCCAGCTCCTTGTTTTGCTTTGTTTTCCTCTTGTAGCTCTGATTCTAAATCCCTGAAGTGGTTGAACACTGTGTCTGAGGCCAGAAGCTTTCGTGGGTCACTAGAAAAGAGCCTAGTGAGGGGGAGGAACTGGACTGGAACGTGGAAAGCTGGAATCGGGTCTGACCTGCCCTGCCGCCTTGGCAAATCACTCCTACAGGTAATGAGTGGGCCTCAGCTTTCTCACAACCAAAACTGAGATCCTGATGTGAGTCCCGCTCACCTTAGAGAGGAGAGAGAAAACCATGACCGTGACCGAGGAAGATGCCTCAGGACATAACTTCTGCACAGGGGAGGTTGTCAATTTCCTCTGCAGTATGGATTTATGCTCCTCACCTAACCAGCCTGGACTCCAGTATCCCTATCTGTTTAATATTAAGCTCTCTGAAATGTCTCCACCATAGGTATCTCATTAGTAGAGGACAAGAGACAAAGGTGATTTAATCAAAACAGCCACCACCCCGACAGCAAAACACATTTACTGATTCCTAGAACCACTATCTTTCCTGAAATGTTAGTATGGGGTTGACCCTATTGGTTACATTTGAATTGACTTTTCCATGTTGAGAGAATTAAGGTCAAGAGAATGAACTAACAGCCAGCCAGTTTTTATACAACAACATTTTTGTATTCTTTCCATTGTAGGTTATATTTCTTTAAAGCTCAAATTAAACAGCCACTTATCCTATACCCCATCATCTCTTTAAGTCTCCTTACAGCAGAAAAATTCTGGAGACATTTTCAAAGGTGGAAAATCCAGGCCCAGTACCTAGAGAAATTAAAATATGGAACATTGGCTCAAAGTTCATAATTAAAGGTAGTAAGGAATTTGCAGGTGTGTAGTTTTATCCCGAAGTCAGTAAAAAGAATCATTTTAATGTTGTTAATCAGTGGTTCAGCCTGGGACCTTGTTAAATTGATTTGCAAATGGGAACTTTGAAACATCCTGGAGTGGCCAAGTGTAAAGGAATGAGAGACGGGATGTGGGGCTCTGCGCCTAAGCCACAGTACATTTCCAGCTCCTTTATCCCAAAGGAACAGTCATTGTCAAGCTCAAAAGCCAGGTCTGGACTCAGCTTACAGGTGTCTCCTGGGGACCTGGGGAGGAGCGATTCCCACTGGGTGAATGTCAGCAGAGAATGGTATGCCGGCAAAGGGACACCAGAGAACTCTCTGGTCGTAGGACGGGCAGCAAGACTGCTTCGGTAGATTCAGGACATGATTCTGGGCAGTTAGCAGCCTCTCTCCCCTGCTGTGTGTTAAGAACACTTGAGGATGTTTTCCCTTAGCATTTATGATGCTGAGGAAAAGAGATTTTGGAAACTACCTTGACAAAGAAATTAATGGAGGGTGACATGGGGATTCCAGCAAGGCCAACATACAATTGCCTCATTTTCATGGTATGTCAAATTAGATTTAGGTTTTGGCTACTGTGCTTGTCATGGGGGCTCTAACTCTCACCCAGGGCCAGCATCTCACAAAATTTTATGACTTTACACTGACTTTGACCTCCAAGGACAAGGGCCAGTGGGGAGAAAGACCAGCAGAGGCTCATTCCTCCTCTAGTCTCAACGTCTCTCTCCCTCCCTCTTTCTGGAACTTGTGCTCCTGAGGTGGATGTCTGACTGTGTCTTTGGCCACAGCCAGCCATTTGCACATCTGTTCCTGTGGAGTGACAGGCAGTGGGGGAGCTCACCGCCCACTTCAGGACCCAGACAGCCATGGTCCAGGCACTGCTGTGGGCTGGAGAAAGCTGGAAAGGACCTGCCTGTGGCAGGAATCTCTGGGCCCCTTGACCATGATCTCCACACTCACCACGTGTGTACCAGGAGGGCAGATCCAGACACAGGAGCCAGAAGGAAGCCCACGCGAGCCAACAGAACATAACCTCTGGGCAGGAAGAGGGAAATGCACTCTATTGCCCAGTACCCTAGCATGACTACCTACCATGAGCAGAGGTCTATCCAAACAGGCAGAAAAAACCTGGCACATGTACATTTATCAAACAGTTATGGAGCATCTACTGTACATATTTACCTAGTAGGTACTTGTGGCCAACACTAGCAGTCATCCTCTAATACCCATTCTCCTCTTCCTTAGTCATGAAATGACCACCTAGAATAGAGACTACACCTCCCAGCATCCCTTGCAGCTAGCTGTGACCATGTGACCAAGATCTGGCTAATGGGATGAGAATGGAGGTTCTAGGAGCACCTTTCAGGGAGGAGGCACTTTTTTCACCTAATTCTTCTTTCCTGCTGGCTGGAAGATGTTATTTAGAAGTGATGTCTAGAATTTGAGCCACCTTGGACCTTGTACTGAGGATTTCAAAGCACAAGAGAGGAGAAACCTGGGTCTCTACAGACTTTATAGAGCCCTGAACCAACCCAGGAATTCTAACAAATAAGAAGAAAATTAACTTCTTTTTAAACTCATTCATCTAGGGTTTTTCTGTTACTCACAGTCAAACTTAACCCTATTGGACTCAATATATATTTGTTTTATTTAGGCCTTCAACTGATTGGATGAGGCCCACCAACATTATGAAGGGCAATCTGCTTTACTCAAAGTCCATTGGTTTAAATGTAAGTCTCCTCCCAAAAAACCCTCGCAGAAACATCCAAAATAATGTCTGACCAAATACGTGGGCATTGCAGCCCAGTCACGTTGACATATGAAATTACCCATCATGGGGATGAAAACTGGTGAGTCACTGGCATATGAATAGCTGGCATGACTGTGGACTCTGGGGAGAGAGAAGAGAAGGAGAAGGCAGGGCCTAAGGAACATCACTATTCAATGATCAGATGGAGGAGAGGGCAGGTAGCTGGCAAAGGAGACAGCTGACACTTCATCAAGTCCTCAGATACCAGTACTGTAGGGAGAGCCGTGTGCAGGTAGCAGAGCCATCCCAGGGCCAAGGTGGGGCCTCAGTTTCCCATCGAGCAAGTTTCCAGAACCAAGTGAGATCAGGGTAGCACTGGTGTGCTGGGGGCTTAGTGCCAATCAGTGCTTGACCATTCTGGATGGGCCTGGCCTTGGGGACGTGTCAGGCCAAAGGCTCCGATGCCTTCTACAATGAAGAATGGAGGGCCACAGAAGCCAGGACCCTGAGCAGCCAGCAGAACAGCCAAGCCCCTTCCCTGTCCAGCTGTTCTCCAAGACCAGAAGATGTAATGCCTATTGCCGTTTTCTGTACAACATCAATTTTCTTATTAGGATACTTTTGGGGAACCAGTTTGAGAATATATAGAACTGCAATTTTGTTCAAAGGCAGTAACAAGGTTATAAGCATGAGGTTTGAAGCCAGGTGGGCCTTGGTTAGATCCTTGCTGTGATCCTGAGCAAGGCAGTCACTCCCTGAGCATCAGGTTCCATATGTAGGATTACTAACCCCTCCCTGATTCACCATTACGGAGAAGAGATGGCGCACTTAGCTGTATCTGGCACATGACTTCTACATGGTAAAGGCTTTCCTTTCTTTCTTTCTTTTTTTTTTCCTTCTCAAATCTATTGTTTTTATTTTTTTTAAGTAAGCAGTGGTATATATGTCATCTTTTTAAATGTTTCTTTTGGGAAGATCTTATAGAAAAATGGCACCCTGAAACTTTCAGCTCTATATCCCAAAAATTGTCTTTCAAGAGTTAAAAAACTCTTTAAAATGAAGAGCTTTTTTTAACTCTTTATGAGTTTTAAAAAAACCCTTAAAAATGAAGATAATATACCTGGCCTAAATCAAAATAATCTGAAAAATAGATGTGTCCCAGTGGAAAGCCTACAAAGGAATAATCTCCCATCTTCATGGGACCTTCTTTCTCCTTTCTTTCTAAAAGCCTTCTAAAGCATCACCAACACACCCCAAATTTTGCTTTTCTTTTCTATTTTATTACCATTTTTTGGCTGTTATCACTCCATGTTCCCTTGCATGTGTTAAATGTATACATGTGTTCATGCGACTGAAGTCATCTTTTGAAATACATACAAAAATGTAAATAGCCAATCTCGTGTTTGTGTTAGCCTTTGAAATCAGGCTGAAAATAAAAATGCATGAAGTCAGTTATAAATTGCTATTGCCAAACAGAAATGAGATGAGTATTTGCCAGAGGTCTGGGGCCTGGGGGGAAATGGGGAGTGATGGCTGATGGGCATGGTGTTTCTTTCTGGAGTGATGAAAAAGTTCTGGAATTAGATAGTGATGATGTTGCTATAGCTCTGTGACTATCCTATAAAACACCGAAGAGTACACTTTAAAATTGTGAATTTTATGTAGGTGAATTATGTCCCAATAAAAACAAATTTCTATCGCTTGGGTCAAATAGTGGATCGCCTACTTCTAAGGTCAAGTGTTATGAAAGGCGGGGCAGCATTAGGGATTCATACATGGCAGACAATGGCACCAGGACTCCGTGTTGAACTAGCAGAACTGACTTTGAGCATAGTACAAATTCAGGAAAAAGGACTCATCTAGAGAGGCTGGCGTCAATTTTAGGAGGACAGACTTGAGCTGAGTATGCAGGGAGGAAAGAATGGACTGGAAGAGCAAAGTAAAAGACATTCCAAAGAGGAATTCAGAAGGAGGGAGAGATCATGATGCTCTCTTTACTTGGTTACTGTTTTAAACTTTCATTTCATGTGGCAGTGTTTTCAAGGGGAGATGGGAAGATTGGACTTCTAGGCAAGGGAGTTGGGAGCACAAATCTTGTTTGGCTGGGCAGGGAAGAGCCACATTAGAGTGTCCCTTCACAAGCAGCCTTTATCTTGATGTGGGAGGTTGCAGGGCAGTCGTCTGAAGCCCTGGAGCCATGAACAGTCACATGTCGTTCATTCTGATGCGTCTGAACTCCTGCATCCTAAGTCACGTAACTGGAGGCAACGAGAGCCTGTTGGATAGGAAACATGTCGACTGGCCCAGCCTTTGCAGCCTTTCCTTTGTAAGAGATGTCTAAGCTCTGTTTGAAAGAAATGAGGTTTCTTTGTTTTAAAGAAATAGAATACTGCAAGGGAGAGGGAGAGTTTCCCGGGCTGCCATCTTGTTTTCTGTGGGTGGGAAGTGAAAAACCTCTCATTTTTGGTAAGCTGAGCAAAGCCCAAAAGCAGGAGCAAAATCAGTCCACACTCGAGCTTCAAATGCCACTGTGAAAATTCGAGGCAGGCTTCATTGGTTAAACCGCAGCCTGTCAGGGAGGCTTCAGCAAAAATGCTGGCATGAGATCTTGATTCTTCTATGATAGGCCACAGGACAGTGGCCGTACTGCCCTGCCAGGTAACTGGTGGGGCCCGGGGCCTGGGGGACCACGTCGTGATGGTTCATTCCTGGGCCCTGGGATCCATCTGCCTTTGCCTGTCACTGGAACCCATGACAGCAGTGGACTGAGCCTGTCAGGGAGGATGAGAGAGATGGAAGCAGCCCAGGAACTCTCTCAACCTGAGGCAAGTTGTGCCTCTTCCCGGCTGCCCTGTGCCAGGCCCCGAGCCAGTACAGAAATGGCACTTAGGTTGATATCTTACATTCAGTCCATTTTGCTGGAATGTTCTGTAAGCTCCCTCTTGGAATTCTGGGTCCATGACATTCTTTTATCCTTTGCTATTAACATTATCATTGTGTTAGCAGTATAGCTCAGTATGACTGCTATTTAAACATCCATCCCCATCCCTGCCCGCTCCCCCACCCGAAAAAAATACTGTCTGCACTGAAAAGAAGTGGTTTGGCATAGTGAAAGTTTTTAAACATCCATTTTCCAGATGGATATCCTTGTTAAATTTAAAAAGAAAAAAAAAAACTAAACCATGTGGAATGCTCCTAAGTGAATATTATTGTTTACTAGACTTATTCCATCTTATGGCATTTTATGACAAAATATCAGCAAGCTCATAAAGAGGGCTTTTTTTAAGGTCCATAATCTTTCTAACCATAACAAAAGGGTGGTAAATATATTGTACAAGAGCACGATGGAAAAATGTGCTAAAGTATTTCCACAAATCAAATGTAGCACTTTGGCATTGGCTCTAAAGCATTAAATTTAGTAAATTAGAACCAGATGATTTTAAAATAGAAACTTACATAACTTTACGGTGTGATTTTTTTCCCCCAACGCAAGTTTATCTTCCTGCAGCCGCGTTGGCTGCTACTGTAATAGGTATTTAAGAAGTAGGGCAGCCTCTAGGTATTATTCATCTTTGTAGCTCCCAAGGTGCCTAGCATTATATTGGGCAATTAGTAAGTATTGGTGGATGGGTGAATGAAATCTCAGCAGGGATTAACAAGTACTAGTTAACTGGCAAGGAAATGTAATATAAATATTTATACAGATCTACAGGTAGACAAAACACTGCCGCTATCACACACATAATAGTGAAAATATGGGTTGCTTTTCCTTTCATTGTTAAAGCTGTGGATTAAAATCAATGAACCTGAAATAAAAGGGTGGATCTGCTTCGCCTTTGGGTCACCATGCTTCAAACCACCATCACCCTGGAATGTTCCTAATACATAAGTCTCATTTCTATTTCTGCCATCATAGCAGCCACAGAAAATGCTCCTTTTGGTCATGTCTCCCTCTCCTCCCACACACAAGTTCACAATGTAGCTAATACCTTAAAGATAAGCTGGGAGTTCAACACAGCATATTGACTGAGTGCCTATAATCTCCAAGACCCTGTATGTGCTGCCACAGGGGGTGCAAAGGAATAAGGTATAGTCTTTGCCTTCTAGGAAAATACTTTCCAGTAGAGGGTTAGTCAGCACACTGTCATTGCATGTAAAAGAAATCTAACTTATACTAGGTTAGTCAGGAAGGTGTATTTATGGCCTTCTGAACTGAGTTGTCTAAGAGTAGACTTCAGGCATGGCTAGATCCAGAGGCACAGACAACAGGATTAGGGTTCTCTCCATCTCTCCACTCTAAATGCCTTTGCTTCTTTTTGCACATGGACTCATTCTCTCTTGCTATTGACTCTCTCTACAAGGAGAAAAACATATTCACCACCGAGCAAACATTTACAGTCTATGATCCAAAGACAGAGAAGTTGTCTCTCTCCCAGGCTTCATATACAAATCTCAAAAAGATCTTGGATTGACTCTGAGTTACATGTCAAGTTCTCAGATTAATTACTGTAGAAAAGAGGATGTATTCTATGACCAATCAGGCCTGAGTGGTGGTTGGGACTCTCCCTTTGTGGATGAATGAAAAGGAGGCGATTTATGTCTTAAATATTGATATTTAAATATTGATGTGCCTTGGCAGCTGATTGGATGTGGGAAGTAGGTGGGAGAAAGAAATAAAAGATCAGTCTGAGGTTTTGATTCTAGGTGACTGGTAGGGACATAAATAGAAAGAGAATGGTTTAAAACAGACACTGTTTTAAAGGGAATTTATCATTCATAGGTGTATTAATCAGGGTTCTCCAGGACATGTGTGTATCTATGTGTGTGTGTGCGTGCACACACGTGTGTGTGTGTGTGTAAAGAGAAAGAGAGTAAAAGATTGGTTTGTTTTCAAGGAGTTGTCTCCAAGTCCAAAATCTGCAGGGTAGACCCACAGCATGTGGACCCTGGGAAGAGCTGATGTTGCAGCTTGAGTCTGAAGGCTGGTGGAACAGAATTCCCTCTTCTTCAGGGAACCTCAGTCTCTTTTCCCTGAAGGCCTTCATCTGATTAGATGAGGCCCACCCACATGGTGGAGGGTATCTACTTTACTCAAAGTCTACTGATTTAAATGTTATCTCCTCTTTAAAACACCTTCACAGCAACGTCTAGACTAGTGTTTGATCAAATATCTGGGTAGCATGCATGGCCTATCCAGGTTGACACATAAAATTAATCATCCCAATATTTGACTATAAGGAGCTTATGACATGCCTCTGGAATATTTAGGTGCAGTAGAAAATGAGGGCTTGGAACTCAGAACACAGGTTGGGAGATGTGATTGTCATCAGAGTAGACGTCATTGGAGAGCATGAGATAGATAAGGGAGAAAATACACAAGGAAAAGGAGCTGAGAATGGAACCTTGAAGAAAGGCTCCTGAAAAGAAGACTGAAACACATTGGCAAGAGAAGTAGAAGAACCAGAAGAGCCCACTGCTTTGGAAACCGAAGGAGTTGATTTCATAACAGGGGAAATAACAAGGAGTTTCAGGAGTTGAGGGGAGATCATAGAGTTGGCAGGCAGAGAAGAGTCCCCGGCTTGGACAATGGAGGCTGGGGGTTCCCCTGGAGCAGGACTCCTCAAAATGTGTTCTGCAGACCTGCACCAGGCCACACACTGGACAGGCCCACCAACAGGTAGGTGCAGAAATTGAGAGCTAGTGCTTAGAAGCTCTGACAGCCATTAGACAAGAGTGATTTTTTATCAGCTGAATTCAATTATCATCATGATCATCATCATCATCATCAAGGCTTGTATTTTGCCAGTCTTTTTCATTTCTTTTTTCTAGTAATTTCAACACTACTCCTATTCTATGCATCAATGGCTTTGATGGTTATTGATGGAACAGGGGTCAGAAGCAGATGCCTGGAGGACTGAGCAGGAGGCCAGGATGCTGGACCACCCACTCTCTGGTCATGGCAAGTGAAAGATAGAGGGCACTTGGTCAGTGTTGGGGAAGGAGAGGTGGCAAAGGGAAGATCCTGAAGACCCAGAGAATGTTGTTTGTGGCTCATATTTGCTCATCCACAGTAACAAAATGTAAAAATCTGGAGTATTTTGATAGCTCACTCAGCAGCACAGCCTGATTGGAGTTGGCCTGAGTGATATGTATTCTTTTACCCACTTGGCATGACTCTTTGTAGATTCAATTGCTGAAACATGCATGCCTTTGCTCATGGGACACAGCCATGGATTTCACTGGGAGTGTCTTGTAATATGTGGTATATGCTCTAAATCTCTTTCTAAAATCTGAAATATTCTGAATTCCACAAGCTCATCTGGCCTCCAGGTTTTTGAACAAGGAACTGTGAATCTGTTTTTAGGGTGAGGAAGGCCAGAACTTACTTGCAGAGAGCAGGGTGGGAAAGATTAGGGGGCACATCAGAGAGGGGATGGTTAGGGAGCTGAGTCCCAGAGTGGGCTTGAGAGGAGAGAAAAAAAATGCACAGAGCTGTCTGGATAAAAAGGAAAGACAGTTTTTTTTTTTTGCCTGGTGACCAGAACTGCACAGGTGATGACTTTTGAAAATGTAGAGTGATTTTAAGATGGCAAAATGAAAACTGGGGGAAGACATGGCCTCTATCAGCTAGGGCCAGGAGGGCACAGCCTTTCTTCTTGTCACTACTCTCCACCCCTCCTAAGACCAGAAGCTCCAAAAGCAGGTTAGAGCATGAATCAGGAGAACTGCATGCCCTGGGTTCAAGAACACCCTTGCAACACTCCCTTGTCTACATCGTCAAGTCTGAAATCACAGGGTGCCAGGCCTTCAGCAAGTTAAGAGAACTTATACTTAGTGCCTGTAAAGCTCAGGGGTACCAGTGAGCGAGACTTCAAGTCTTGTGCATGCTCATTGCCAGACCCCCTTTGGCTTTTTGTATAAAGAAGAGAGCTGCTCTTTATTTCCGGGCTCAGTGGGCAGAAAGGAATGCTCCGTCCATACTCCGTTCGGCAAGTCAAGGGTGGACACTGGTGTCTTTATCACCACCCAGTCCTCGGCCCACACTGGCAAGGCATTCCTCTAGCAGACAAAATAAAAGATTGCTGATAGCTGGAGCACTTTGTTTGCTTTCTAAAACGAGTCAAACTCTTCAAAAGCTTGGCTTGAACCGTGCAGGGTGTGCTGTGTTCCCGCCACATTCCTCTCACCCGCCTCTCCACCAGGCCTTGTATTATCCGGATTCCTTTCATGCGCTCACGAGCGCCAGCTGGCGGCTGCTTGGGCTGGCCGGACAGGCCAGAGGCTCTGGGCCCGGGGCCTGCTGGACATTGGCCGGCCTCAGCTGATGAGGGCAGCGGGGCACGGGAGGGAGGCCTTCTTGGAGGGCTGGGTCAGCTGGGCTCTTTTAAGGCACAAGGGGGAGAAAATGCATCTCCAACCCCTGAAGAAATGAGGTACCCTGGGCATTACTAGTGGCCATTTGGTGTTTAAAACACTCCCTTCTCCCCCATTGTGTACTGTCCCTACCTCCGCCCCCGGAGCTATGCTGGATGGCTGGTGTGGAAGATGGCTTCCGGAGGCCAGTGTGCGCTGGAGAATGGCAAAGCTCGGAAGTAGATTGGAAACAGAAAATCCAGCCCATCTAGGAAGCTAGGGCACACAATCCATAAGCCTTTTCTGCTTAGTCCAACTAGACAATAGCAAGACGTGGAGAGGGGAAGAGGGCTACAAAGTCGCATCATATCACATGATGTCATGCCATGGCAAGTAGGAAAGATCATGTCTTATACCACATGACATCACATAGAAAGTGTATGCCAGAGAAGTCAGGAAGACTTTTCAAATGTAAGAACATATAGAGGAAGCACAAAGGTTAGCAAGAAGAAGACCTGATGCCTTTGCTCCCCTTCATTTAATAGGTAGTATGCACCAAGATGATTGTGTTTGGGCAGTGCCTCCGGAAAGAGGAGACGGCCACTCTCATTTCAGCCATGAGAGTCCATTCCTGTTTATTTGATGTTGGCAGATCACTTCAACCTTTGTAAAAATCCACAGTGTGAAGTTTCTATCAGCAGAAAAGATTTCCATGACAGTTTCATATAACAAGTTGTTTATTTGGACAAACTAAAGCATGTAATAACAGAACACCTCACGGCTAGAGAAAACAGGAGAGAGAGGCTTTGCCAGGCAGCCTGCACAATTTTACTATTAAACTCCTTTTGTTCCACTGAACTCTATGCCTTTACCTAGCTGGGGACACATAAATAGTAGAAATGTGAACCTTGCACAATTATGGAGATAAGCCTAAATCTTTATGCATTTCTAATTTTTCTTATCACTTCACCTTTAAGTTAATTCATCCAAGTCTTTCATGTAAAGAAAATGCTAAAATGGAGCGTCACAATTGCTTGTCACATTTCACTAGAGTCGAGTGAATTTATTTAACACCTAATTTAATCTGTCAACGTTTTTCAATTCTTTGAAGAAAAAAAGGTAGTAATTAAGTATTCCAAAGTTATAATAACACTAAACATCAAAACTTCACAATCGCACAGTTTTTTAAACATCAAGTTAAGATATTAGCCATAGTCACTCCACTTAAGGTGGTCTGGCTAGGTTTTTAGTAGCACGGTAGTGACACGGTTTTACGTGTTCTATTTCATGGTTTATCAAGAACTAAGAGGGGCCTAAGACATCCCATTTTAGCGCTTCACCCTTGGGATAATTAAAAGCCACCTCAAAGAGATGGAAGGAAGCAGGAAGAGGGCTCAGTAGGAGTGGTGGTTGTAAGGGGCTGTACAGTGACAGCCTGCTCAAGCTCAGCTAAGTGGTAAGAGGCACCAGGTCCTCGTCAAGTCTTCACAGTGTGGAGACCCACCGCGTCGCTGTAACCTAGAAGATCTAGAGAAACTGCTTCCATTCTCTGCTGCCTAGCGCCCCACCCACCCCAGGCAGCTTGTCCTTGAGAGCGAAATGAGTTAGGAGGGAACCAAATGAGAAGAAATTCAGGGATCACGAGTCAAGGAGCTTTTTTAGAAGACACTACCCTCCACCTCCATCTGCAGAAACAAATTTCTTTTTTTTTTTTTTTTTTTTTGAGATGAAGTCTCGCTCTGTCCCCAGGCTGGAGTGCAGTGGCTCGATCTTGGCTCACTGAAATCTCCGCCTCCCGGGTTCAAGCGATTCTCCTGTCTCATCGTCCCAAGTAGCTAGGACTACAGGTGTGCACCACCATGCCCAGCTAATTTTTGTATTTTTAGTAGAGATGGGGTTTCACCATGTTGGCCAGGATGGTCTCAATCTCCTTACCTCATGATCCACCTGCCTCAGCCTCCCAAAGTGCTGGGATTACAGGTGTGAGCCACCGTGCCTGGCCTATTATTTTTTTTAATACGAACTTAACAAGTCTTTCAGAAAATAGAATGTATTCCTAGGACACTGTTGCTAACGAGGTAGTTCGGGGTAAGGTCGGGTAGCCTTCATGAGGTCTCTTGTGCCAAAATATTAGTGGAGGGAAAGTGAATGAAAGCCCTATTTCACAGTATATAAAGAATCAAGCATTAAAACTCTTTTGGGCTTTTCTCTAATAATAGACTTTCATTCATTCCAAGAGCTTGACCAGTTCAACAGATAAAAGAGGTTTATTGCCTTGAAGTGAGAGGAGCTCATTCCCTTGCCTTCTGAGAAGTGGCTTATTTGTCCCCCTGTTGAATTCAGTGAAGGCAGTGTGCACAGACAAGACACAGGCTTTGAGAGGACAAAAGATGGGGTTCAGTCACCTACATAAGTGCAAAATGGGCTACAACAAAAGAAAAGACAGAACCCTCTTCTATAAATTGCTCAAAATCTCATTGCGGAAAAGAAACTCTCACAAAAGAAACCATGTAAGGGAATACCAAGCACTAAATGGTGTGTTATATACATAAAACTGACTAGAGAGCATATGCAGATTTTTTTTATTTTTATTTTTTTAGAGACAGGGTCTCACTCTGTCTCCCAGGCTGCAGTGCAGTGGCACAAACATGGCACACTGCAGCGTTGACCTCCTGGGCTCAAGTGATCCTCCCCCCTCAGCCTCCTAAGTAACTGAGACTATAGGCATGCACCACCACACCTGGTTAATTTTTTTTAATTTTTATTTCTGTAGAGTTGGAGTCTTGCTATATTGCCCAGGCTGGTCTCAAACTCCTGGGCTCAAGCAATCCTCCTGCCTTGGCCAACCAAAGTGCTAGGATTACAAGTGTGAGCTACCGCACACAGCCATGAAGATCACTTTAAACGGGTAGATTCCATAGCCTCATACTAAGCCTACTGCGGCTCATACTTAAAGGAGAGAGGCCTAAGCATTTCTAATTGTTTCTTAAGGGAAATTGGATTTGGGAAGCATAGACTTAGGCCACAGGTGACGGGAGTCCAGAGATACAGAGGAAGATTGGAGGGAGGAGAGCAACAATGGAGAGATTTTTCTAGGAAAGGTTTTATAAAGAAGATGGGGTACAAGCGGGAGGCACGATAGGATGTAGGTAAGCAGAGCCACGAAGTGGGGCAGAGTGATGAAAGAAGAACTACATACGCACAGGCTCCAACGTGCACGTGAGTAAGGGGTGTGTGCATTTGTATTTACACGGCTGCATCAGCCCTCCTCACAACTCAAGAACAATACCTGTTTCTCAGTTGAGCTTAGTCCCACGAGGGTGGAGACTCGACCTTATTGAGCGGACAAACATGTGCTCAGATAACGAAGTGCATTAATTCATTCATTCATATGAAGAGAATGGCAGCAATATAGCTCCATGGTCAGGGCCACACAGACTCAGAAACCAGAAAGCCTGGGTTCATAAACAAAATGGGCCATCACCCTGTAAGTTGGCGCATGCTGTAGAACTTCTCCAGTCTTGGTTTTGTGAAGTGTAAAGTAAGAACAATACAAGCTACCTCACAGGGCTGTTACGTGAGATGAATATTAAATGGACTCCTGCTTGTAAACATCTGGCACAGGGCCTGGCACCTCGGAGGGTTTCGGTGAAGGCTGAATGAACCAAGAGTCAGTTGTATTGAAGGAGAAAACTCTCAATGGCTGGTCTTTGAGGAGGTTTCTGGAGACTTGTAAAAGACTGGAAAAGTTGCTGCCTCCAATTATTTTTGAAATAAGCTTGGTATATGTAGATTGTTTTTAAAAACTAATGTCAAACTAGAAATGATAAAACATGGCCCTAGAATGGTTCCTTTTTAGGACTGGGCTTGTTCCTCTGGTCTAGCACTCACTCAGCTTCCAGATTGTTCCCCTGTAGATGTGGAAAGATCTATACTTTATTCTGAACTCAGGCATAGATGTACCTTGCACTAATCTAGAGTGTGGGTCGGCAAACTTCTAGAGACAACCAAATAATACTTTTTCTTCTTCGGCTTTGGGGGCTTTGCCATCTCTGTGGCATGTGCTCAGAGTCTGCCATTACAGCTCAAAAGACATCCCTACATGAATAGGGATGGCTGTGTTCCAATAAAATTTTATTTATAGACATCGAAATTTGAATTTCACATCATTTTCATGTCTCATCTTTGGTTTTTTTCCCAACCACTTAAAAATGTAAAAGCTATTCTTGGCTCATAGATGCAGAACTAGCAACAGGCCTTGAGTTGGTTCTGAAAAGGTGCATCCTAACACCATTTTAAATAAATGGAAAACTCACTGCTAAACTCAAACACACGGGGGAATATGTCTTCCCTGTTCCCTTCCTGGGCACCAAACAGAACCTCATGATAAACATACGTTCTTTGAAGTTACATTTATCTTCTTACTCATTGATGCTGCAAGCATTTATGCACCTCTAAGGTATACAACAGGACAGGGGACACAGATGAACAAGATACCACCCTGTTCCCCAAGAACACACATCGGAGCTGGGGAAACAGACATCAACAAATCATTATGAGACAACGTGGAAAGCCCTTATAATAGGGCCGTGTTCCAGTACAATGGGGGCATAGTGAAGGGAGGGAGGAATTAGTTCTGAAAGGGCGAGGTGGGCAGGGTGGGGGTTGTAGACAAGGATACACAAAAGGGTTAGTGTTGAGGCCAAACTTGACAGCAGAAGAGTGAAGGGGGGTCATTCTCAGCAAAGGGGCCTGCCTGTGCAAGTCAGGAAGGTGCAAGTCCGTCTTGGAATCAGTAAGTTCCCGGCAACCCCACACTCCCAAGTATGGCTAGAGGGTGGGATGGGGGTCGGCGGTAGAGGGAGAAAGAAAGGGTGGGTTCAGATGGTGGTCCATGCCAAAGTGTCCAGATTTTGCTTGTTAAGCCATTGAAGTGTCACTAGAGGTTTTTAAACACGGTAGTAATGTGATCGACTCTGTATTCCAGGAATTAAACACGTAGTGAGCAACGTGGAAGATAGATGACAGCAGTGAGAGAGTTAGGCAAAGAAACTAAAAAGAAATCATTAGAATAGACCAGACCAAGAGATTCAGGGGCCTGACCTCACCACCAATTGCTGTTATAACTCAAACTGGTGGGGCCCTGTGTGAGGCACTCAATCTCTCTGAGCGACAGACAGCTCTGCCCTCTCTATGAGTGGCTGGATTAGGTGATTTCCAAAGTCATTTCCTGCCCTCACATGCTCTTCACTCTTTGCCCTTCACTCTTAGAGAGCAGTCACGTGGGTTCATTCCAAGTTGTCAACAGAAGTATTTCTTCTTTCTAGCCTCCTCTTGATTTTTTGCTGTATTTATGCCAGTGCCCAGTTGCAGCTGGAAAATCATTAGAATGGCATCCGGTGCCATTTCCCTCACTCCTGCCTGCACAAGCATCTGGAAGGAAGAGTGCTTGGTTGAAGAGCAGGCAGGCGGCAAGGATGACAGGAGGGGATGCCCACCGGAGTGCTGGCAAGTGCAGGAAGTGGAACCGGAGGCCCAGAGTTCTAGCCAATTTCAGGAGGGTCTCTATGGGAATCCTAGGGCTGCTGCATAAATCAATTACATAGCCCAGTTTAAACATCATTTTTGCATCTGATAGTAATAAATGAGGAAGGGAATTGTTTCTGTATTCACTGAGACAATTTGTGTTTCCCTGAAGAGTTTTAAGGGCAACATACTAAATGACACTAATAAAGTAACAACTATCTGCATTATTTAAGCTGCATTAAGACCAGAGCTCAATATTTTAACTAGTAGCCTGCTGTCCTTGAGTGTTTAACAAACCGGAGAGAAACAGATTACTCCCTGGTCAAAACACTGCAGAGGCTTCATGTCACACTCAGGAAAAAAATCCAAGCTCCCTACCACCTACCTCTCTGAGCTCATCCTCTCCATCCAGCCCTGTGTACCCCACGCTAAGCACACTAGACAGCTTGCTGCGCTTAGACACACTAAGCTCGTGCCTACTGCGGGCCCTTCCCCTGGGTCACTTCTGTCCGGAATGCTCATCCCCTAGATCTCTGAGTGGCTGGATCCCTGAAACTATTCAGATTTCTGCTTAAATATCATCTCCTCAGAGGAGCTTCCCTGACCACTTTATCTAAAATAATACACCTCCTGTCCCACCCTGGTCTGTTTTCCTCCAGCAATTTTCCCTGCTTAATTTTTCTTCATAGCATTTATCACTGCAAATCATATTATACATTCATTTAATTATTTTCCTCAACTCTCACTAGACTGTAAGCTCCATGAAGATGGGAACTTTGTCTGGGCTACTGCTGTATCCTCCCCTCCTAGAAAGGTACCTGGCACATGCTAGGTGCTCTAGTGATAACAGTTCAGTGAGAAAGCTGCCTTATGAAAGAATGGCACACAGAGAAGGGGTTCCTCCAACTTCTTCTGAATGCCTACCACACTTATCAACAGTAGTCTAATATTAATACTAGTTATAATTAATACAATAATTAAATAATAATCTATAGAATATAGCAATAATGTCATAAAATATTAACAAAATATCATAAATCTGATATTAATTAAAATAATAACTAATAACAACAGTAATAAGAACAAGCAACCATTTAAGGTCTTACAATGTAACAAGTACTATTAAATTCTATCCACATTATCTTATTTAATCCTCATTATGAGGCTAGCAGGTATTATTATTTTCTCTATTTCATACTGAAGGACATCAAAATTAAGAAGTTCAACTGGCCAGGCACAGTGGCCCACGCCTGTAATCCCAGCACTTTGGGAGACTGAAGCAGGTAGATCACCTGAGGTCAGGAGTTCGAGACCAGCCTGGCCAATCTGGTGAAACCCCGTCTCTACTAAAAATACAAAAAATTAGCCAGGTATGGTGGCAGACACATGTAATCCCAGCTACTCGGGAGGCTGAGGGAATTGCTTGAACCAGAGATGCGGGGATTGCAGTGAGCCGATATTGCACCACTGCACTCCAGCCTGGGCAACAAGAATGAAACTTTGTCTCAAAAAAAAAAAAAAAAAAAATTAAAAATGTTTTGAGGTTCCAGCACAGGTTTACCTGATTCCAACACCCTTGTGCTTTCCTTTAGGCAGCTAACTATATACTGACCCAAGCCTTCTTGAAATGAACTTCGGGTAGATTACATGTGTCTTACTTACCTTACAGGACAGAAACAGGAAAGCAGGAGGGCCACTAGCTAGAGAATGAAATTACAAAAAAACCCCAGCACAAACTTTAGGAAACTGTTTGAAAACATTAAAATAGGATGGGACAGCACTCACTTACTCAATGATATTCATCAAACAAAACAGAAAAAGGATTCAGCTTGACCACTTAGGAAGCCAAAGGAATGTTATCTAGATCTCTTGGAGGCCGCAAGACTCATCTTACAGATGGGAAGGGCTTTGAATCATTGTCCTCCTTTATCCAGGTAGACACCAAAAACAATTTCCTGCAAACTAACGACTCTCCGGTCAGTCTGCAGGATTCTTAAGGAGATCGTTACAATGCAATATGCTGCGTGCTTAATTTGTGTTCAGAAAGGCCTTGCACAATCACTCAGGCTTATTTTTGCTCTAAGGACAAATGAGGAGAAGCAAGGCCTAATACAGGCTGGAACAGGTATGTCAACCTCATTAGGATGGCCTGGGGGGTCATGTCCCTGGAATCAGTGCCACACTGAACTGCAAACTAACCTGCCAACCCTGTATCTGGAAACCACTTTTGTAGGACAGCTGTTCTCTCATTCCTTTTGCTTAGATCATAAAAGTAGAGTTTTCATCCATTGGGAATTTGTGTGTTAGACGCGAAGGGAATCAGATTCTGATCCAACTTGGTCAGGAAAAAAAAAAATAAGGGCTGATTTTTCCATCCAAGTCATGTAGTCTGGTTGGAGTGCATCCCACTCAGGGACAGCTATTGTCTGGATTCACCGAGTCTCAGTCTTGCCCGGGAAAAAGGAATTTTTCGCCTCACTGCTCTGTCCGTGAGAAGAGTTGCAGAAGGTGACCATTTCTGTTTTCTGGGTGATTCTCTTTCTCTATAGAAATCCTAAAATGGAACCTTTATAGAAATTATGTTCTGTGCTTCGCTGGAGAGAGACTGGTCTTTTTAACCAGGCTCATCAAACAGTGGGCATTTTCGTTCTCCTGGATAATAAGTGTTGGTGGGTTAATGGGTCATCCTCAGGACAGAGGTCAGAAGGAAAAACACTGCAGTGTTCAAAGCTGGAGCTAGAAATGCCAGCCGTCAAAGAACACAGAACTCAGTGGACGGTGATGATGTATAGGGCGTGCACTGGCCAACCCCATCCGAGAGGTCACATCTAACCTTTATCCTCAGCAAAGCCACTGAAGGTCGCTCAATATGTGTGACCCGCAACTCTGAGGCCCTGGTGAGAAGCTGTCCAGGAAAACGCTGGTGCGTGTGCTAGAGGGTTCCTTTTCACTAAGGGAGAATTGTCTTCCAGCTCCTTGCAGACTGACATCGCAAAGTACTTTGAACGTTGAAAAGAACAAAAAAAGCAAACAGTCACACACACACAAAAAGTAGGCGGGAGGAGGGGGAAAGAAAAAGGGACAGAGAGAGAGAGAGGTATCAGCAGGGGTGGTTAGTAAAAAGGGGCCCGGAGACAGAAAACCTTTTGTTCCCGGAGTTCGTTTCATGTAGAGATTGTGAGGTGAATGGCTTTGAAACGAAATGGGTTTATGAAGGAGTTGCTAGGTCACAGGAAGCGCGACTGTCAGACTGCTTTTGTGAATTCAGTTTCTTTAAAATTTGGGTTAATCTTAAAAAGAATGTATCTCCTTTTCCTGTTCTTTCTCTTTCTGTCTTCTTTTTTGGCGGGGGCGGGAGGACAGAGTAAGGTTCAGGACGGTTCCCCACTTTCTGTTTTATTTTCCACCGTCTGATAAAGCAAAAAGAAGCGATCACATTACAAGTTCTTTGTCAGTTTTTCAGAATTAGGGGTGGGCAGGGCCTGAGCATTACCTTGTCCCACTAGCCAATGGCGGGGCGGCATGCAAATGAGGTCCGCGATCAGCCTGCCTCAGTCACAACAGTGAGCTCAGAGACTTGAGGGAGGCGCTGCGACTGACAAGCGGCTCTGCCCGGGACCTTCTCGCTTTCATCTAGCGCTGCACTCAATGGAGGGGCGGGCACCGCAGTGCTTAATGCTGTCTTAACTAGTGTAGGAAAACGGCTCAACCCACCGCTGCCGAAATGAAGTATAAGGTAAGAGAGTGCCTTTTACAGGTTACCTTGCAAGCTGAAAGCTGTGCCTGCGGGTGTGTGCTTGTGTATGCGTGTTCCTTACTGTCAGTCCCTTGTGTGTCCCGGAGAGTTCTAAGATGAGTCTCGGTCACTGAGGTTGACATGCAAGCAGACAAGCAAGCAGAGACCCGGTCTTTGAGACCCACTCCAGGGGTTCACAGTACACCCGAGTCCATCTGCTCTGAAAGTTGCCGGGGAAATACCTCGGTGAGAAGTTAAGACTTGGAGCCGCTTCACAGCAGCCACTGGAGATCAGAGGGTGTCTGACTTGAATCGCGGCAGGCATTGGCTCAAGTCTCCTTGGCTTCCCCAGGCCTGGCTTCCACTGCCCTGGGGAACTGTAATGAGAGGAATGAGGACTGCATAGTCTGTCTCAGACTGGCTCTTAGTGCAAAGTTTTCCAGACTTTGCTTTAATCGTTTGGTCTCGGAAGGAGTATGCCATATGCACTTTTGGTGGGAGAAATTAAAAGCCCAGATTACACAGCTGAGGATGGAAAATTTTGACATCCTTATGTTATATTGGATGTAGGAATAAATAAGTATGAGCCATTTCTTGAAAACATTTTTATTGGAGTTTGAATGGGGTGAGAGTGCGAAGGCTCAGGCTGGCTCATTGTGCCTGAAAGCTTACAGAGTGTCATAGTCATAGTACTTCAGCAGCATTATTTTCCAATGCATTTTACACCATTGTTTGTGGATTTTTCTTGCCAAAAGGATTTTTGACTTGCTCCGTATATTCCCCCCTCCCCTTTTTCTTTTAAGTCACTCCCATCTAAGGAGGCAAGCAGCTTCCAGGGGACACAAAGAAAGCAGACTGCAATGAATTGGACATGAATTTTTCTTGAATGATGAATAGACATGAGTGCTAGTGCTACTATTTTATTTTATGCTATTTTAAACAAAAGTGTTATTATTAAGATGGATTTGGGCAAGGGTGCTAGGCTTGTGGATTGACAATTTATATTAACTGTACACTAGCTGGAAGCTACTTCGCTTTTTTTCTAAATTTTTCTGGTCCATCCTTTTTTGATGTAAGGTTGTAAATACTTGGTCTAACTGATAGCCACTGACTAGCCTCAGTAATAAAGCTTTTGTTCAAAAACTATGAATCTTATTCAAAAGCTTTAAGTCTAAATGTCAAAAGTCTTTATAGTAATGCCTACGTTACCACTGTCTGAAGACACAGGTATCAGCTATTTCTGTTTCATCAGCTTTCTATTATCTTCATCAGTAGGGAAGATCAGAGGAAAGGGTCATCCTGAAGACTATTAATATTTGACTTTAGGATGCAACCAGAAACAAATCCCTCTACTTGGCAGGAAAGTTATCTTCCTTAAAGTGGCTCACCCCATATTTCCTTATTTAGAACAATGATAGGACCAGATATTACTCAGCCTGGAGTGACTTTTTTGCTCCTCCTTTCCCTGTTGTTGAATAAGAACTGGCTTGCAGAAAAAAGAGAAAGTATGTTCATATGTCTATTATTGGAAAGTATAAATGGCTGAAATTAACATTGAGTGCTATAATCTAGAAAGTGACGAAAGCGACAAAGTCTCAAGTCACTTTTATTCAATGATCTCATCGTGGTTAGCTTTACTCTTTATGGAAAGAAAATCTAAAGGCAACTGATAAAGTGACTGACAGCGTAAACTGCGATTGGCATTCATGGAGAAACCTGCTTCTCCACTGGGCCTTACTGGTGTTGAACACCTTGCCAAATGATGTAAATACATGATTTTTATTACCTTGTAGGCACCTTCACCAGCAAAAAAGCTAACTTCTCCGACCGAACACATGACTTATGCCCTATGATGACTATTAAATCAACCAATAGCTGAAGAAATCCACTTTCCTTTTTTATAAAGTTTTCTTTCTCTCTAGTTAATAATGAACAACTTTACTTCAGGAAAGGATTTTGTTATTGTAAGTAGAGGAGAGACACAAAAGTAATGAAGTAACATTAATTGAGACTTACTGTGACAACACAAGATTGTCATATTCAACTCTCCCAATAGCTCTACAAGGTGGGTATTATTTTTATACTCAATTTCAAATGACACAGAGAGGCTAAGTAATTTATCTAATGCCACACAGCTAGAAAGTGGTGAGCTGGGATTAGAACTAAGGCGATCTGGCTCCAGAACTCATGACTTTAACCACTATTAAGAGAAAGAGAAAGAGCTATCGTTGACCTCTCTAAAATATGGCCAGTGTTTTCTTCTCCCAGAAAGTTTAAGACTATTTCATCCCAAGTATTCCTGCAGGATAATTTCTTTTTAAGATAGTAACTCTACAAAGCAAAATGAAGTGCATGTTTGGCAGTTATTTGTTTAATTCGAGCCACTTAGGTAGTAAAACCAGATAATTATTAGATGGTAAAATCCCAGAGACAGGAATTATCTCTAAAATACTACGTTGCTCTATGCACTGTAAATTTAGCACAAACCTTAAAATGTTTACTGAAAGACTTATGAATCAGGCCCTATAAGATTGTCGTTGTTAACCTGATTATCTGGTTTGGCTGCCCCAGGGATCACAACTACGGAACAACAAACCTTCACTTATTTTGCACTTAATATACATAGCTTCAGGCCAGGCAGCAAGGTACTTGCAGTAATCCTGAGAACTGTGGAATGTAAGCTATTACTCCGGACAGACATTTCTGGTTAGCACTTATCTAATCTGTCTTTATTTCCCTGTATGTTTTTATTTGTCCACAGGAAGGTTGCAGTCACTGTCATACGTACTTAATTTTCCATTTCTCTTAGAAGGGATTCAGTCTGTGGTTATGTGATAGTAAATTACGGGGGCTTCATTTATTAAGAATTTTCTACAAAATCCCCTTCATATACAGAGCATGTTCTTAATTGGGCGGGGGCTGGCGGGGTTAGGTGATTGCCTCGATGGCCTTGGTTTGCTTACCCAGTGAAGGCTCCCTCCTGAGGGTCTGGAGGTGTATGGTTGTGCTGTTTCCCAGGAGGGTGATGGAAGGGTCTCTGCGCAGCTGTGTTTGAGCAGAAGCCCCCGAGACCCCACCCCGTTTGTGCCTGCCAGGCCCGAGGCCCCGCCCACCTCAGGCCCAGCCCGGGCGGGGGCTCAGCGGCCCCTTGGCCTGGCTGCTAATGGCTGAGCAGAGACGCTTTTGTGGCTTTGCCAAATTTCTGAGCCCTTACGTGCCTACATTAAAATTCTAAATTATTTATCTCGTCTACCATGCAACAAATTCATTCTTTAACGTTTTGACTGAAGAAAAATTACAGACGGAACTTACAATGCCATTAAGAAAGGTGCATTCTGAAAGTCAGAGTCCTGTGTTCTGGTTGAATGGGGTAGGTCAGGGAAAGGAGAACCTGTGTGCCGTGAAACGCTTTGGAAAGGACTTTGAAAGTATTCGTATTTCCTCAAGCAAGACCGAGGAAAATAATGACAGAGGATCTTTAATTTAGTCAATATGGTCATGCATAAGCTATTAAATTCCCAATTATTTCCTTGCTTTGATATTTTGGTTTAAAATGCTTTATTTTTCTCTGTATGATTTTTGCAACCAATCCAAATGTAGGACTCCTGTCCTTTTCCTTTTTAAACCTTGTATGAGATCTATGGATTTAAAATCACTAAAACATGCTTTGAAAAATATCAACTTGGTTATTTATGTATTTATGCATTTATTTATTTATTTAGTAAACCCATTTGCAGAGCTAAATGGCTTACCTACACAGAGATAAAAGCCTTTAGAGTACTGAAGGTGCCTGATAATACCAAATTTAGCAAGTTGTACAGTGCGTAACATGCCAAGGATTCCTTTAGCATCCTTTCCTTGCTGGGATACACGTCAGTCCCTGTTCTCAGAATTCAGTGGTTCCCTGTCTCTCCCTTCACTCCAGTCTTCTGAAAAAAACACCTTCCTCTCCACTTTTCTTTTTTTCTTTTTTTGAGATCAAGTCTCACTCTGTCGCCCAGGCTGGAGTGCAGTGGTGCCACCTCAGCTCACTGCGACCTCTGCCTCCTGGGTTCAAGTGATTCTCCTGTCTCGGCCTCCTGAGTAGCTGGGATTACAGGTGCCCACCACCATGCCTGGATAAGTTTTGTATTTTTAGTAGAGATGGGTTTCACTGTGTTGGTCAGGCTGGTCTCGAACTCTTGACCTCAGGTGATCCACCTGCCTCAGCCTCCCAAAGTGCTGGGATTACAGGTGTGAGCCACCGCACCCGGCCTTTTTGCAAATTCTCTCCCACTTTCGTGCTTTTATGACCTCATTGGTTCTCCTTTTATCTTCTTCTTCTTCTTTTCAGGCTTTCCTTACGCTTCTTTAATACTGACTTCCGTAGATCTTACTTCCAACCCCCTACTCCCCAGCCCCCCACCCGCACCTATCTACTGCCGCCCCCTTGCCTCCCACACACAGATGTGACACTTTTAATGCACATTCTGTAGCCCTCATTTTTCCTTCTCCTTAGACTCTGCTATGGGAAATCTTGGTCCCTCACTGCCCCCATTCATCTGCCTCTCTGTTTGCGTTTACATGACTTGAGTGGCCTGTCAGTCCCGCTAGTAAAGTCTCCTCATCCATCCACTCTGTTTAAACAATCAAACTCTGAAACCTGTGTCTCCTGGACCATCCTATAATCCCTAAAATAGGCTGTTATGCTTTTCACCTCTGCCCTACTCTGTTAGCACTACCTTACTTATTGACCTCTTTCAATCAAATCGTTATCTAAAGGATACCTGTAACTCAGATAGGTTGCCTACTGGGCCTGTTTAGTTTTAAGTAAACCCCACTGAATATGAGAGACCCACCCTCTATTTGTATGTAGAGGCAGATTGATCGAAAAGTCCTTGAATAAAAAACATGATCTAGGGTCTGTGAAGTTTTGAGGGGGCCAAGACTTGGTGTTTTATGCTCTTGTGTTAGAGACATGATAGAGCATGGGCTTTGAAGAAAGGCATTTCTGTTCCTTATGGCTTATAGCTCTGGACCTTAGGCAAGTTAAGCTCTCTAAGCCTCATTTTACAGCATTGTCTGTAAAATAGGGATAAGAATAACTGCCTCATACTATTCGAAGACCTGGGATAATATATGAATGAAGTACTTACTATGGCTCTTGGCATATAGTAAGCAGACAATGCAAGCTGGCTCCAGCTCTCTTTGTATGGTAGATGCTCAATAGATGTTGAAAGGATGGTATGTACTCAAGACTTGGTGACAGAATTATGTCAAAATCCCAGTTACTAGGTTGAGATGGTTGAATATTGTTGAGTATTCTGTGGGCCTGGATGTGTATTGTAAGCATAGGGCCCTAACAGCATATGACCCCACTTGCTAATATACTAATGACTTGATTCCTTCATTATTGTTCATTGGACTCAGTATTCCTGAAATTACAAGACTTTGCTCATAGAAGACAAAATGTATACACAAATAGCCATTTAAGAGGATCTTAATACTATATGGCATAGTAAAAAAACAACAACAACAACAAAAAACATGGGCTTTGTTTCAGATCCCACTTTTGTTACTTTCTAACAGTATAGTTTTATGCTAGCTACTTTAAACCTTCTTTTCCTCATTTATCAAATGAGAATAATACCTGTCTTGTCAGATAGTTATAGGATATAATATATGACAATTGTCCTTTCTAGCAGATATTAGGCATTTAATAAATGGCAGCTATTATATGATGTTATATACACATACCCACAAAGATATACAGATATATAGATATGGAATTTTTATATAGATAAAAGTGTTTAAAGGAGACATTCACTAGAATTGTTTACCCATAACAGAAATATCAGTGAGGAAGAGAAAGTCGTCAATTCAAAAAACCAAAGATAAAATCCAAAGAATGTAAGTTGGGAGTACATGAGAAGTTCAGGGTGAACTCTCTTATCCAATTGCAGTCAATTAGAATGACATAAATGTAAAGTAAGAGGTCTTGGTTGTCTATGTTTAGATCATTTTAGGGTCAGAAAGAAATCTGAACAAATTGGTTTGAAATGCCAACCACTAGGACCAAGGCAATACTCTGCAAGAACATATAGGCTGAATTACCAGGACTTCTCGCCAAGACAAATGAAACAGGGCCATTGGGAAGAAATACTATATTTCTAACTTAAAATGCCAGAGAGTAACTGACGGTTTCCTAGGTGATAGATGGTTGCAAAGAGTACGGGCATGAAAAGGGGACACACACACACAAAAAAAAACCCTGTTTATACTTTGCCAACAACACCCCCCTCCATCTTATTTACTTTGAACATTCCAGCCATCTCTCTGCAGTAATTCCTGCTGGCTAATGAGGATTCCACACAGCTAGGGAACATGACAGCCTGCAAAGGATTATTTTCCTGAACAATCTGCATTTTAAGATAAGTCACCTTGTTGGTAACCTTTTGTACCCTTCATTGGAAAGGGTGACTCTCTTTGAAGACAGTTTGACCAAACAATGAGATCTAGGTGAATTTGAGGAAGATAGAACGGGCACTCCAGAAATATGGATAGTGGTGGAGCTGACAGCAGTTTTTCATGGTTGACGTAGGGAGTGGAGGCAGCTGTCATGGAGATATTAAAGTTGCCAGTGGAATGTTTTCCAATACATATTCCTGGGCCCCACAATGGACTATTAAATCCCAGTTATTCTTTAAAAAAAAAAAAAAAAAAAGGCCGGGCGCGGTGGCTCACACCTGTAATCCCAGCACTTTGGGAGGCCGAGGCAGGCGGATCACGAGGTCAGGAGATCCAGACCATCATGGCTAACACGGTGAAACCCCGTCTCTACTAAAAATACAAAAAATTAGCTGGGCATGGTGGTGGTCACCTGTAATCCCAGCTACTTGGGAGGCTAAGGCAGGAGAATGGCTTGAACCCGGGAGGCGGAGCTTGCAGTGAGCCGAGATTGCACCACTGCACTCCAGCCTGGGCGACAGAGTGAGACTGTCTCAAAAACAAAACAAACAAACAAATAAACAAACAAACAAAACAGCTAGTCTCTTTCTCCCTAATCCCCTCACTAACCACTACTAGTGCTTCTGGTGCTTACACGGTGTCTAAGTAGGTAGTTCATGATCCTTATTCAAAGGCTGGATCCAGTGATTTGTAAGTGTCATGTTTCTTTGCAAATCTCAGTCTTGCGAATTAGAATTCCCCCTGATATGTCTAACATATCAAGGTAATAGTTATATGATGTTACTAAAAATGTCCCTCACATGAAATGTTATGTTTATGCCCACAGGAAACAAAGATTTAGCAACAAATATGTAAAAGTGAAACCATTTCAAGCAACAAAAATATTTGATAGCCCTTTTGAAATTAATTTGAATTCCTTTTTTTACTGTGTGTATGTGTGGTTGGGGGGCAGGGGGGCGGTGGATGGATTAATTATCTGTGAAACCCAGTAGAAAGTTGCAGTAACCAAAACACGTGTAAAGTTCAGATTTGAACCAGATCTCCTGTCTACTTCTTAAGGCATTGTGCATTTAGATAGTATATGTCATTCATGTTTTTCCTAGGTTTTATTGGTCAGGCAGAAACACTGTGCTATCTCTTGGTAACTATGAGTTAGCCTTAATCTCAGTGATTCATGACAGTCCACTTGTTTTCCTTAATTTAATGCCTCACTCCCACAGGAGATGAGGCTAACTGAGGACTCATCTAGAGGACTCTTTAAGAATGAGCTGGGCTTTTCTGCCCCCCAACACCCTCCGCCTCCCAAAATAACCATAACAGGCAAAGCCAGCACACAGAAAATGGCAGTAAGTGGACTTCTAGACACTCCAGCTACTTCTGAGTCTTCAGTGTCAGGACACATCAGTCATCTGTCGATGAGATTTTTTTTTTCTTTTCCTTTTGTTCTTTCGTTCTTGTTACTAGTCACTGTGGCATGACTGAGAGTTTGGCAGGAAATGGGTTCGTGGACCTGTGGTACAGTCGCACTACCACAGCAGCATTGGCCTAGCAAAATGTTGAGCCCTCTTTCCCTTGCATGCTCCCCTGGGGCAGAAGTCCAGTGCTATCTCCGCTTCCCTGACCCTCTCCACTCAGAGCCCAGCATGACAAGCACACCTTTAAATGGGTTCAAGGAAGGGAATAGCAGAAATGAACGCAGCCCGACAGCCTCCTTTCTCTTGATAACCCCTGTCACTGTGGAGCTGGACTTCTAGGCTATCTCACAGAGGCCCAGAGGCACTGGAATCGATCTCATTTCCTTACAGACATCACCTTGTCAATTAGAGAACACATAACGTTGATTGAATTTAAGATTCTTATCAGTGCCTAGCTCTTTTTCTCCCAAATCCGAAATTCAGCCATGGCAGATCCATAATCAAGAAATATACTTACATTCCCATCCTTTGTTGTTGGTTTCAAAAATATTTCTTTTTTGTGAGTATGTATCCATGTTTTACAAACCAAAAAAATGGGACATATGGTCTGACAAAGGGAAGGATATTTGAACCTGGGGACTGCCTGGGAGAGTCCGGAAGCACATGGTCACTCTAGAGACTGTCATCAAGGGCTGCTCCTGAGATTAATCCACTGTCGAAGGCATTATCCCATCTCCCTTACAGCAGCCTTTTGCAGGAAACTGTCTAAGATGTTGTGCTTTTTTTTTCATTGACTTGTAAATAACAAGGTGCTCTCTTTCCTTTTCTTTGCAGAAATAGGCATCTTTAGAAATAAAGCCATGCCCATTTTGAAATAAGAACTTGTTTGGAACACCTGAGAGTGTTAAGCAGTGCGGGGGATTTGCATCCAATTGTTCTTGCTTTAAACCTGGCATGGGCGCTCTCGCCTCATAGCCCGCAGCACCTGAATCAAGCCTCCTGCCTCCCTTATTAAGATCTTAATTACAGACTCAGCTTAGTTCATTGCTGAAGGGAAAGAATTTCATTTCTCTGAAGTGTGTCTGTTTTTTGGTGTGGCAGGTGTAATCATGATAAGATCATTTCTGGGTTTTTTGTTTTGTTGGTTTTTTTTTCCTAGAGGAAGTTTTTTTTTCCAAGGGGAGGAGTACAGTTCTTAAGACACAATTTCATGAGCTCATCTTGGCGCAGTAATAATAACTGTGCTTTGATTTTATAGAGACTCTTTTTCCTGAAGAAATCAGAGCATTTGGAGTAAATAATCTCATGATTCCTCATATTTTTATAAAGAAGAACATGTCTATTAATATTTATTTTGCAGACAGGGAAACAGAGGCACAAAAGGCAGAGATTTGATGGTCATTAGTCTTCAAATGTGAAGTCTGAAGCTAGACCCTCCTAATTCAGTCTGGTGTCCATTCCTCTATCCAGGGTTTCTCAACCTTGGCACTATTGACACTTAGGGCCAGGTCATTCTTTGTGGTGGGGGCTGTCCTGTACACTGTAGGATGTTTAGCAACATCCCTGGCCACTCTACCCACTAGATGCCAGTAACACACGTGTGCATGCATGTGCACATGCACACACACACACAGTGACAACCAAAAAATGCCACTAAACATTGCCCGTACCCAGAGGGGACAAAAATCCTCCTAGTTGAGAAGCAGTGGTCTAATCTCTTCTACTCCTTCTCCTTAAAAATAACTGCCCTACTCAAAAATACCCCCATAGAACTGACTGCCATAATTTTATCATTACTGATATTGAGCTTAATGTAACAGGTCCTAACCAAAAAGCAACTTCCTCTTACAGGCCTAGCCCCAGTTTGTTTCAGTGAATACCACAAAATACTAAGAAGCGCAGAGTTTCATTCAAGTCAAATGTAAAACCCATCAAACCATCTCTAAGGCAACTTTAAAGTATTTCTCTGGCTTCTCTCTCTACAATATGTACCTCATCATGGAACATGCATTTAGAGCTGGGTCTTTAAGAAAGCTATTTTATTCTCATAAACTGGTGTATAACATGTGCGTGTAAGAGCTTGTCTCTCCACCTCGGCACTGAACAATTTCACAATGAAGGTTTTTTGTTCCCTTTGCTCCTGCCACCTTTTCCCTGTCTTCTAACTAAGAAGCTGCAGCTTCAAAAACTCTTCCTTGAGACAGCTTAGTGGCTGCATTGCTGACAGTGTATGACTGTAAACACCTCTCAGCCAAGTGTGTGAATCTGTTTTCTAAAACTCTCTGAGGACCTCACAAGTGAAGTAGATAATACCAATCAGGCACCAAATCCAGGTCAAGTGACATCTAAAAGAGTTCCAGGGAGGGTTGCATCCTATTTACATCAACTCGGTTCTGGCTGGGAGATGGACAACAGTTGCCAGGATGTGTATGCATTTGTATTGGTGGGTTTAGATATAACCTTGGGCTGCATAGCTTGGTGAAGGAAGATAAGATAGACAGGAATGGAAAAATAGGAACCTCTTTTTCTTCTTTCAAACACCTTATCAGATGTTATAACTTGTGCATTTTGACTTTGAGAAATGACATCATTTTTGGAAGTATATTGTAATATAGTAGATTGGGGTCTCCTACTCCATTAAAACTTAATTCTTATTTCTCTTCCCTGAGTACCTGGATGTTAGAGGGATTTGTCTAGACAGGCAGATAGATATGATCCAGTGCCAACACTGTAATGCTGGCTGAAATCCAGATGGTTGTTTTATTGTTAATAAAATCTATCTTGTGGGTGGGTGGGTGTCAGGCCTTCATCATTATATGGTGCCTGTCAGATTTATCTACAGACAGAACCCTGAAAACAGCTTGTGCCTGCCCCGCATTTTTGACCCCTTGCCAAGATACTGTACTGAAATCTATCAAAATCAGGCAACCTGGGACAAATGCTTCGAGATTCCAAGGCTTAATAGCAACAGTGCTGACTTCTAAGATGGAGAAGATTCTCAGGAAGGGCATCCTTGTCCGGTGGGGAAAAATTCTAGATTAAGAGGTGAACCAGATGCTAGCTCTGGCTCTGCCGCTAATCTGAGACCCTCTGGGCTGTAAAATAAGGAGATTGGGTTAGAATGGTTCCTTCTTACTCTGAAATTCTACTCTAATCAACTCTGGTCAAGGTATGGGTGACTTCTGGTTCTAATACCTATAAAAAACCTAGGTGTTCTTCCCCCTTCTTTTTTTCTTTTTCTTTTTCTTTTTTTTTTTTTATGACAGAGTCTCGCTCTGTCACCCAGGCTGGAGTGCAATGGCGTGATCTCAGCTCACTGCAACCTCCGCCTCCCAGGTTCAAGCAATTCTCCTGCCTCAGCCTCCCGAGTAACTGAAACTGCAGGTGCACACCTCCATGCCTGGCTAATTTTTTGTATTTTAGTAGAGACGGGGTTTCACCATGTTGCCCAGGCTGGTCGCAAACTCCTGAGCTCAGGCAATCTGCCCACCTCAGCCTCCCAAAGTGCTGGGATTACAGGTGTGAGCCACCGTGCGCGGCCTCCACCTTCTTTAAGATTCTCAGGAGTTGCTTCGGTAAACCCAAAGACCACAGATGAGTGAAAAAGAACTCAGCAGTCAAATTCATCTTCCACCGTGGGCCAGGAAATAATAGAAGTTGACTGTGACATTGCACGTATACACACATATATGCAAATCTGCCTACTAACTCTTTGCCCTAAGATTTTGTTGGTTACATAGTAAACAAATCCTAGCATATGAATGTGTCTGTCCAGCACGAACCCTAAATCAAGCAAGAATAGATGGCATTCATTCAAGTATGGGGAAGGAGAGGAACCCAGCTTTTGAGGAACCCCTTTGTAATTGCACAGCTATGCTGTCCATATCATGTTACCAAATCTGGTCAGAGAGAGATTTCTTTCTGAGATCCAAATATCCAAATTTGCAGTGAGCATCAGATCTTTTCACCAGTCCTCAAAAAGTAACTTCACTTTGGTATATGAGCCACCAAAATAGTGCTGGGTTCCAAATGATCCTTCATCAGACAGGATTGGCCAGTGTGGAAGAGATGTTAAGATTCCAAGCCCTGGATCTACAACCACACACAGGGCGCTGCCCCACAGCACATCCAGGGAGTATTAACAGCTTCTCTTGCCATGTCAAAGAGTACCTTCGGGAGGCAAGTATTTAATGTCACATTTCTCAAACCTTCTCCCACTCAGACATGCTCAAAAGAGAATGCTATAGCTAAAGTTCACAAAGCTGGAAAATCTAAGAAAACTTGAGGACTCGGGGCAAAGTGAATGACGTCAAGATTCGGCGGGGGGGTCCAAGATACTCCTATAAGCTTTGTAACTGTCATAGGGGTCTAGAAGAAGCACTTCCCAGAAAATAAAAATTACTGCCTGAAATGCAGTCTGGGTGCCACAGGAGGCCTTGTGGGAAATGTTGAACACCTCTCAGCAGTGGGCAGAAGGATGCCAGGGATTAGTGGGACAAAGTGGGGTCCTGCTTTTGCCTTTCTGTGAGCTCCATTCAGCTCACCTAGTGAAAAGTGTGTCAGAACACAGTCGACAAATAGTACTGGGAAAAAATTAGCATATCTTATATTATATCATAACTTATCATATCTTCTGTCTCCTGTATTGAAAGCTTCATGCCTGTGACTTCATAATCTCAAGAGGAACCAACTCAAAAAATTCGACATTCCAGATCTTCAGATGCAAGAACCTAAGTGTAAACCAAGTATTCTGAGAATTAAAATCCTGACACTTACAGATATCCATGTTTTCTGACTATGGCTGTTTCCTTCTCTGGGGAAAGCCCACATCCCCCTCTATCCCAAAGGTGATGGTGGGAAGGAAAGGAGAAATGTAGCCAAAATGGTTTGCAGTTCTCAGACCAAAGCCGGTTTTCGTCAGTATGCACAAAAGCACGTGAGCCTTTCTTTCTCTTCCCTGTTGTGCCCTGAGACTGACCTTGACAATGTTCATCCCTCAGCTGCCTGCCTTAGGACTGACTTCCTTGATGATGGCCATTTCCTTGAATGTGTCTGTTTCTCAGGGTCTGTCCTCTGCATGCATGCATTTGCGCATGCAGGCATGCAAACCCACAAGAGTCCAGGCTAAAGTTTTGGGGGATTGGGTACAGGAAAATCATGTCATTGAGAATGGGGCAACCCTGAGGCCATGGCAGGATCCCCTGCATGACAAATATAGAATGAAGTAAAAATAATCAGAGGAAGCCGGGCCATTGATGATGCTATCAGTCTTAGTGGGGTGATACACCAGACATTCTGTCTCATTTCTCTTCAAACGACCGCATGAGTGGTCATGGAAACTACAAGTCACACCTCTCCGTATTTGGAAAAGCAGATCGTTTCTCTGACATAGGAGTAATAAGCTTTCTTGACATTTTGATAGCAGTGAGGGAAGGGAAAAAAGGCAGGGAGGAGTTGGAGGTGGGGTGAGGGGTAGAAGCCGTCATGTGTCCTAGAGCTCTCTGTACCAGCGTTCTGGTCAACTGTACAGTATTTTCTTCCCACTCCTCAGGCATAGCTTGGGAACCAGGAACAGCAGAACCCAAGTGGTCTGGCAAAGTGTTTGAATGGTGCTCTGTCACCTAGTGCCAAAAGCAGATTGCTACACTGAAGGGAGAAAGGCTCTTAAAAGAGACCATTGTGTTTAATCTCACTGGGATGGTCAGTTCCTCTTGGCCTTCCTGTTTGCTCCGTAGTTGCGAACACTAGTTTCAGGGGGGTCAGGCTCCCGATCTGCGTCATTATCCTGTTTAAATAGGGAGGGGCAGGCCCTTTCCTGCTGTCTGTCTCCCATAGTCTCTGGCTGTGAGGCTTGAGTGACTTGGACATGACATTTCTCTTTCTGGTTCATTCATTTTCCCCACTTCCATCTGAAAATTCTAACCAAATGTCTTGCTGAATTCTCTAAGTACAACAATTTCACCCTCCCTGCAGACAATGAGGAAATCAGAGTCCAGAATCCATTTCAACTTAGCAAACATTTACTGAGTCTATATTTTGTTTCGGATACTGGGGTAAAGTTCTGGAAATGCAAAAGGAATTTGCATCTCTGAACTTAAGGAGTTCACAGTCTTGAACAGGGCAATCCAAGTTGTACTGTAAAGAAATAGTATGATCGAGAACTGGGAAAGGAAACAGCCTTTGAATAGATACCCATTCTGGTTAAATGGAAGATGGGTTTCGAGGGAGGAAGGAATTTAATGCAGGAAAGCCAATTGGGAAGCAATTTCTGTGCTACAGAAAAAAAAAAAAAAAAAGTTGCTGAAGACCTGAATGAAGGGTGGCAGTGAGGTGGAAAGCAGGGCCCCAGATGGGTTGCAGGTCATGAAGAGACACAGCAAACCTCTGCGGCTCTTACTGCACAGCTGTGTGCATGCTGTTAACCAAGCAAAGCAAAGCAGGAGAAAAAGGTGTTTGCACTTGCTTTTAGAGAGGAAGATGCCCATTAGACTGGATATAAGGGACTGGAATGCAGAAGAAATATCCAGCGAAGACTATGGCTTTAGGAATTATCTGTGTGTTCAGATGCCATCCTCCTGTAGAGCGTAAGCACATAGCTGAGAAGAGGAAAGTGCAAAGGACAAATCTCTTTGGAACATGATCACTTTAGGGATGGGAAAAAGATTTAGTCTCCAGTGGAGAATAAGGATGAGAGTGGTCAAGAGAAGACAGAGAACGAAAAAGTGGTATCGTGGAGGCCAGAAGAAGACAGTTTCAAGGAAGCTTGGGCTGGGGATCAAGGCTAGAGGCTGCTGCAATCAGGGTTCCCTCAGATAGGGCTCATGATCCTAAATGCTGATTTGCAATCCTGATTAGAGCCACAGCTTGTGTTGCACCTGTATTTCACTTGACTAAATTCTGTCCTAATTCTAGACCTGAAGACAAGAGGCCTGAATTCCTGTCTCAGCTCTAAGACTTTCTTGCCAGGTGAGCTGGCAAATCATTAACTTCTTGAGGCTCATTTTTTTCTTTTGTAAAGTGAAAGGGTTGGACGGTAATTGTTTAAAGTTCCTTCTGGCTTTCAAGTTCTGTGCCCTAACTGTTTTGGTGTTTTGCCAAGCTCTAGCTGCACTGCTAACTGCCAGCCTTTGGAGACTAACCATCCAAGTGAATATAGAGTTACATAGCTCTCTTATCTCTCCTTGATTTGTTTCTGTGTTGACCTTCCCTACCCTGGAGATAAATATCCAAGGGGGTGAGTGGGCAGGAGAAAGAGTACATCTTGAGTAGATTAAACTGCCTCTCTGGGGTTTTTCTAAGATAGCAGATCATCAGCTTCTGACTTTGTGGCTCAAGGAATCACACCTTTGCACTGAAGGAGAGGATCCCTCCACTTCCTTGCCAGAAGAATTCATTCTTGATTTTCCTATTACGACTGATGTGCACTTTTGAATGAGATGGTTTATGGTCCAGCTGAAATTCATTTGGCTGTTATGGTCTTACTGAAACCTTGCACCAACACCAAATCTTTTCGAAAGTCCAACTCCTGCCTCATGCCTTTTCCTACCTGCTGATGTATTATCTGTGTTGGAATCTGATGACATTTATCCATAATTTATCAAGTAGTATCATTATTAATATGTTGTCTCAGAAGTTCCCTTGAATGCAACCAATGGTTTCACTATTGCTGTTTGTAGGCAGATACTCAACAAGAGGTTGCAGTGACAAGAACTCATTCATAATTCAGAAATATACTGCTTTAAGATAACAGTTCTTCTGAAATGTAATCCTGAGCAAGATAAATATCAGATAGGTACAAAACATATATAATAGCATCATTGGAATAGGACCAAGCCTGGACTGCAAATGGAAAGGAGGCAAGGCGGGGAGGGAGCCTGAAGCCCAAGGGCCATCTAGCAAATTAAATAAAACATCACCATAGCTTACCAAAGACCGGGAAACTAAGGCCCAAAGGGATGCTGTTGCCTGGCAAAGTAACACAGCTAGAACCTAAGACCGCAAATATCCAATTTATTCCATAGACACAAAAAGAAGAACCGCTCCTCTTCAGAACTTTATCATATAATGGAACTGAGCCCAGTAACAAGGATGCTGCGTGGCTGAGCTAAGGTAGCTTAAAGTTCTGGAAAGAGGATTAAACTGAAAGAACGCAATTCTCTTTCCATCGCTGCCAATAGTGTGGTCTTGGGCAAATGATAAACTTCAAATCTATTTCCTCATCTGTGACACAAGGGCATTGTGTCCAGGTGATCTCTAAAGGTCCCTGGAGCCGTAAGCTTCGGTTTAGGAGAGTGGCTGGATGTAGACATTGGCTCTCTGTAGCTTGCGCAGATATTAAATAACTCATACTCCTGTTCGGCCAAGGCTGAGAATATGTATCGGTGTGTGAATAGGCTGGTGCCGGGGTCCTGGCTACTAACAGCACTGACAAGCTGTGCCTGAAACCTAATCTCTATGGGCACTGAGGAGGACTGCTGGGAAGTCCTGACAACCAGTCAGGAGGACTCACCTGCGGTGCCCACATTAGCCCAGACTGTGGGGCTCTGAGAGTTTCCCCCAAGAAGCAGCTCACAGGCCAGTGTAGAAACATTAGCCAGCTGCTCACCAGGTGGTAAGAAGGTTACTGGGGCAGGAGACAAAGAACGCCCAGGACGACTCTCGCACGGGGATTTCTATCTGCCTCTGATCAAGCATGCTCCGGTGCTCCACTTCAGTGCCTCATGGTGCTCTTGGAGTTGGAAGTGGCCCAATTCCGAATGCCTTGAGCTGATTTATGCTGATTAGATCTGTAGCCCTTTGCCTTTCTACTGTTTTCTGTTTCTCTTCTTTCCCTTCTTTGTAGCCAGTATAATTGCACAGCTACCAACCCTCAGCTCCCATACAACTAGCCCGACTCTGTTGCTTCTGATTTCATGTGGGGGCTTCCCGATTGCTGAATGGGCCCAGAAGAAAGGGACAGACAGAGGCCAGAGTGGTCAGCTATCTCCTCACTTAATAATCTCAGTACAGCTCTGGTGGAGTCATTTCCTGGAGGTCATTTTAGTAAAAGGACCAGAATCTTGTCCTCTGTAACTCTATGACTTCTCTTGTAAAATACAGAATACCCAAAAGATGGGAGAAGAGAAACAGAGACAATTTTAGGATTATGACACCATCCTTAAATGGTTCCATGAACAGGGGAAACTGCTGCCTGATTTTTTCTTTATGTATGTGAACTTTTCATTGTTAGATGAAACCCAGCGCCTCCTGGAATATTAACTACCCAGTGAAACCTTCCCCTGAAATATGCACTCCTCAGTTTCCCTTTAGCTTCCCTGGCCGCTCACCTCTCTGTGTCTCACACTTCCTGGATCTCATAACTGTCAAGAAAAAGGACTTCAACCTTATTCTTGAAGAGTATCACAAAGCTTCCTGAGGACTGTCCTCTATGGCTTTATCTCTTTTAATTGCCCTGGCTAAGAGGAACCTGGCTCACAGCAGCAGAACTGGACCCGTCCCAACTACTGAATAGAGGGCAGATCCCTTCCATTGCACAGCCCTCCAGAGCGGAAAACACACAGGACCCGTGGCAATGGGGCTAGCACAAGGGGACGCGAGTAGTGCAAGTCAGCTGCAAAGAAATGAAAAGCACGAGGCTGAATGATCAAGTCCACGTTGCTAGAGAAGAAAATAGACAGCAAAAGCTCAGACAATGACAGCCGAAAATCCCACGAATATGTCATGGTATAAAATAAAGTCATGAACCTGCCCCATCCAATCCGTAATCCTTTCTTCCATAAATGAGCCCCACCTCAATGACATTAAGTGCATCCAAACATCTTAACAAAGCATTAGAGTTCACTTTTAGTGTTCCGAGGGCTTGTGCTGAATCAACAACGTCCCCGACTTCGCTGTGCTCTGGGAAGGGGGCAGACATGCGGGAATGGCTGCCCGCGTGCTGGGAAACTTTACTAATGCCAAGAAATGAAATCTTCCGAGCCTTTGAAAGGCCTCCAAGAATGTCAGCACGTACTGCCTGCCCACTCTCTGCTGAATGCCTACTTTGGCTGTCTGCTTAGTACTGAATGTGCCAGACAGGCCTTCATACAAAGACGGAGAGTGTGTTGGGCCCATGAAAGGGGAAGGCACAGCTTTTCTGATGTGAATGGTGAGATTCAAGAAGTAGGTGACGAAAGGGGAGGGCGAGGAGGGGCCCTCAGGAAAGGTATGCATAAAAGACCGAGAGAGAAGAGTTGGCATCCACCTATGTGTTAATAAATTTGTTGTCAAAGCTGGAGATGTATATGGCTGCTGGCCTATGCTCCACGCTTGATGGCATGTCTACATGCCTTGCTTGTGGATTCTCTCTGGATCCAAGGCTCCTGTCATCTGAGAACAAGAATTTCTAAGCCCTGCCAAGGCATATATATGTGTACTTCTATTGGCTTTTCAACTCCAAATATAAATGCTATTTGTACTGTGTGTTATTTGGGATTTTTCTTTTACTCTTTTCACCTCCAATATAGAACAATATTGAGAAATGTTCATTGTCGAACATCTGAATATCTCGGGATTTTTTTTTCCTTAAGCTCACTTTGAAAAAGGAAGAAAAATGTTTTGTATAGTGAACCATGCTCTAACTCTGTAACACTGCTACTCATAATTCCTTGGCACGGCATATCCTGCTAGAGGAAAGAACTCTTCTGGTGTTTTGAGCTTTTCCAAGGAGGCAGTCTGATGTCACTGGTGGCAGATGCAGTGTATATGTATCTGTCTTTTGTCTGCACCATCTGTTTTTCTCCTTACAGTCTATTGTTCAGATTTATGCTTCTCTCTTTCCAGGAAGTGTGCCTTTCCATAAGAGCACGGGCCTTAGGTGATAAAGGGACCGACCCAATATTCTAACACGGTTTCCTTCTCTTCCTTCCCTCCTAGAATCTTATGGCAAGGGCCTTATATGACAATGTCCCAGAGTGTGCCGAGGAACTGGCCTTTCGCAAGGGAGACATCCTGACCGTCATAGAGCAGAACACAGGGGGACTGGAAGGATGGTGGCTGTGCTCATTACACGGTCGGCAAGGCATTGTCCCAGGCAACCGGGTGAAGCTTCTGATTGGTCCCATGCAGGAGACTGCCTCCAGTCACGAGCAGCCTGCCTCTGGACTGATGCAGCAGACCTTTGGCCAACAGAAGCTCTATCAAGTGCCAAACCCACAGGCTGCTCCCCGAGACACCATCTACCAAGTGCCACCTTCCTACCAAAATCAGGGAATTTACCAAGTCCCCACTGGCCACGGCACCCAAGAACAAGAGGTATATCAGGTGCCACCATCAGTGCAGAGAAGCATTGGGGGAACCAGTGGGCCCCACGTGGGTAAAAAGGTGAGTAAATGACTAACTAAATTTTTGTTCCTACTTATTTTTTTTTCCCATTACACTTGGAGCATTTGGAAATGTTCCCAAATTAATAACTTGAAGCTGCCAAGAAGTAGATATAACCAATACCTTAGCTCAGGCATCATGTTTGCATGATTTTGCCATTCATCCATCATTCAGCAAAACTTCTTTGAACTACCATGTGCTGAGTACAGTTGATTTCCAGCCCTCCTAAGTTCCTGTGTCATCCTGGGTTACATGGGTTATTAAACTGTTTCTCTCCATCTTTCTCATATATCAGCTTCTAAGCCTTCACTCTGTGCTCAGATCGTTTCCTATCTTTTCTGTTTCTTCATTGAGTGGAACAAACACCAAATCTCGTACAAGCCTGATGATGCAACAAGGATCCTCCCTTGGCCAAAAGCTGAATCATGACCTCAGTGGCCTGGCTGGACAAGGAACCCACCCAAAGTAGCGAGAGTGAGGAAGCTGGGAGTATGTCATGCTGACCAACTCGTTCTATAGAGTTATCAGCTTAGTTTGACTCATTTAAAAATGCACAGATACTAGTGGAATTGGAATGAAGCCATCCTCCTGTCCTTCAAGTCATTCTTATAATAATGCCTGAGGCAGTGGGTGAAAACAGTGGAGCTTGGATATTTAGGAAGGAATTAATTTAAAAATACAGTGTGGGGAGCTCTGCAACACCCTGTGTAATCCCAAATACTTTAGCAATTTGAGGTCAATAGAAATTCACTAATTGAACAATGAATGTTGAGCATCTAATATATTTTTGATGCTTGTGATACAGTGATTAATTAAAGATAAACAAAGCCCTGGTGATGCTTACATTGCCGTGGGGGAGACAGAAGCAACCAAGAGAATGCTAGGTAGGGACACGTGTTATCAGGAAAATAATGTCAGTGGACTGATCGGGGGTAACACCCACAACCAAGGTGATGCTTATGTGAGCATCACAAAGGAGGGATTTTCTCTTTCATTTGCTGGCAAATTCCAATGGGTCCTACAAGGTTTGGTATTAGGAATGAACAAATTTAACTGGATAAGAAGATATCCCTGAATTACAAGAGGAAAGATGCAATTACATACCAGAAAGAGCTTGTTGACCCTTAGAACACTAACTATAGATGTGTCCTGCCCCAAGTAAATCTAATATGAAGTCTGATTTTACAAACCTCTGTAAATTAGGGAATATCTATTTGATGTATTAGAATCCTCTGTTGAAAAAACAAAGGATTCCTTTAAACAATGAAAGCACTAATGCATTTTTGGGTACATGGAAAGAGGCAGCCTAGAGACCCTGTGGAGAGCCCTTAGTGTTTGGCTGGGGAGGTGCCAGGGCCACCCTCCTGCCCTCCCCATCCTGGCCATGTCACCACCCCAGACCCTGACCCTGTGTGGGTAGATTCCTTTAAACAACAAAGCACTAATGCATTTTTAAATCACCTTTGATATAAAAAGTATGTTTTACAAAATACTTCTCAAGAGCACGCGTGTGGCATGAACTGAGCGTAGGTTCGTTAAGAGGGATTCCTCAAGGGTGGTGCACAGCTTTTAGACTTGTACTGCCCACGACAACGATGCTGCCTAGAGGTGATAAACTGACTTGTGGCTTTTCAGTCTTCCTTGTCCTAGGAATTGTAGATTCAAAGGGAAAACAAAACCTGGCTTCTATCTCCAGAGGGGAAAAATAACAGTTGAAAGGTGTAACTATAAATAAGTAACTTCACTCATTCTTAGTCCTGGTTGTTTGCACCTTAAAAATAGCTCTCCCACATCTGAGCCAGTGTGAGGCAGAAGGGGAGGCCAGAGCAGGAAATGCTTGGCTGGGAGGTGGTGGGCTCTAAACTTTCATCACAGTTGACTTTGGCAGGAAGGTAGCGTGTTTTCCTTTTTAGACCCAACCTTTTCAGCTCCAAGTCAGAGAAGCCTAAGCCTTCAGACTTCTTCCCCTTGTATCTGCTGGGACTGCCCTGCAGGCTTTCCCCATGGCTCCCCGTCCTTCCAGAGGGCAGAGATACGGACTCATCTTCCCTTGGATTGATGTCAAAGGGCTGGGGTGCTGGGGTGACCCTCGGGCACTCACATTCCATGTTTTGTTTTGCTTTTTTTAAGTCTACACTCAGTAGAACATTTTCTGTTTAGCAAAAGGTAGATGAGTCCTGCAGGAGGAAATCAACTTCTGAAAATGACCTGTGCCAGCCCTTCCAGGAGTTGCAGCCAGGGCTGAAGAGTAGGCCGTGCCTAAAGCATCACACAGTCAGGGTCTGGGGTAGTGACATGGCCAGGATGGGGAGGGCAAGAGGGTGGCCCTGGCACCTTCCCTGCCAAATACCAAGGGCTTCTCCACAGTATCCTGATCCTGGGTCTCTAGGCTGCCTCTCTCCATGTACCCCAGAGCAGTGGTTCACATCCATGGGAGTGTGGTTGCCTCTTCCTTTCTTTTCACTCCCTTCCTCACTTCTCTTTTCTATCTCTCTCTCTCTCTCTCTCTCTCTCCCCCCATCCCTCCCTCCTTCCCTCTCCCTCCCTTCCTCCCTTCCTTCCTTTCTTTCATAGTGGAGATGGCTTAGCTGCTAGGAGGTGATTTTAGCCTTCCAGGCAATTGCAACTGCTTTAAAAAACATCTGTCAACATCTTCCTGGGTATAGGATATTCTCAGTGGGTGGGAATCATTCTAATGACTTAAGCCTAGGCCCTAAGAGATAATCCCAGCACACTGGGGATCAGGCGTGGCTTTTTCATTTTTCTGAGTTTGCATTTTAGTAGTTTTACTGACTGGCTTAATAAAGCAATTTGCTCATTTTCTCTTTAAATTTTTCATCTGTAAGATAATATGAGCCCAGAACTAGATATGCCTGGTAGTTTAAGCTATGGTCTTTAAAAGCTCTTGAATAAGAAAATAAGGAGGCAGTGGAATCTTATTCTGAGCCACCGGGGTGGGGTTTAAAAATGTTAATGGGCATAGAATCACCCAGAGAGGTAGGGCAGTGAGTTTAAATGCAGATTCCCAGGTCTTTCCCTCAGAGAAATTAATCCAGTAGGTCTGGTTGGGGGCCCAGGAATCTGCATCTTATTGAGCTCCTTGCATAGTTTTGTGGGTGGTGGCCTAGGACTAGACTTTGAGAAACACTGTAAAGGGACCATGAAGGGGCTGGGACATGCTCCAATCTGATTATGATTTGGGACTTTCCATAGTTCAAAATTCCCTTGATATTGCTACAGACTGTGGGCTTCCGAAGTTTTACCCAGCACTGCTTTTTTCTACTAATGAATCACTTAAGGAAAAAAAAAAGACAGTGAATTCTGCCTTCTATCACTTCAACTTTGCTCTCTTGGAAACTCCAACCTCTACCCACCCTCTTGCATCCCCTCCACACTAACTGACATTCATCACATATTAAATCAGCATTTAGAGAAAGAAATATAGTCATAAAATCCCCACCCTTTTAGGAAACAAGCAGACAGTGTGAGAATTGTGGAGAGAGTAAGGCCTTCAGGGTTCAGCTGATGCTGGGTTGTTTCTCCATAGCTGTATATCCTTTGGTAAGTTACTGACCATCTCTACGCCTTGGTTTCTTCATCTGTTTAATGGGAATGATACTAACTACTTCATAGGCTGTCGTGAGAATTAAACAGAAGCATACATAGAAAGTCCCTGGCTCAGTGCTTAGCATGGCAGGGGCTTAAAAGAATGCATTCCTCTCACCTTGCGTTTCCTTTCTCAGAGTTTATTTCCTACTACATCAGCCCTGTTGTGTTTCTTACGACACACCGAAGGTACAAGTGCTTTCTTGCTAACACATATGCTGTGTTTTTTGAGTGTGTGGCTTTCTCTTTGGTTCTGCAAGAATTCTGCAAAGGGTGGAAAAAAACTCTCCAAGTTATCTGAAAACCATATACGCTGACACCTTTACTTAATTTCATTGGTCTTTTTCACTCTGTGTTTTGTGCACAGGGCCGTTTTATCCATTAGGCGTTGTAGGCAATATGCCCAGTGCCTATAAGAATGTTTGGGAGCTGAATAAAAGATCTTTTGACTCCAAAATATGAAACACAAAAACTGCAAAATAGAAATTAATAAACATTTAGGTCAATGTCTAGGAAACCATATCATGTCTGCCCCATTAATTGTTTTATTTAGGGCTTATAACTATTTCATCATATTAGAAAACAGTATGTAGGTTATATTTTTCTCACTTTGCAAAGATTTCTAAATATGCATCATGGTTGCCAAGAACCCACAGGCAATCCTAAATTAAATAAGTTACTCATAGTCGAATAATTTGAAAAACTGAATTATAAAGGAAGAAAAAAAGTTTTCAATTTTTAACAGCAAAAATTCTACTTAATATGGGATTATGGTTTGGGGTAAATGAAATCTACAAATGTTCAAAACCAAAAGCCTAAAAAGATCTAAAATAGTCTCATTTCTCTGCTTCAAAGATCAGTGAAATTGCTACCTGAGTTCATCCATTTCACAGTTGATCTGCATGGGAAATTATATGTGCTTCTCTGATTTTTCTTTGGATGTGTCGCTTTTATTCTAACTGCTGGAACTATTTGTTGTACCTCTTTCTGAAGATCAGTTTGGGGCTAAATTACAAGCTCCATCAGCACAGGGGCCATGGCTGCCTCCTGACTGCTGTAGGCTGAGCACTTGGTAGAGCATCAGCCCACAGATAGCAGCCCAGTGAACCAATGAACAGGTGGAAGCAAGAATCAAAGTGTTAAATGAGAGTTAACCTTTAATTAACTGAAAGGTGGTTCTGATCTTATCACACATCCACCCTCACACGCTGCTGCTCGAATCCCATGGTTCAGCTCATTACCATCTGGTATGAGAGGTGTCAGATTATATACAGTCATTTCCCTCGCTGAAGGACCTTCCAGAATGTCACTGCCTGTGTCCTGTAAGGGTAACTATTCATATACAATCAATGAGCACCTTGATGCAAAGCATGAGTGATGTAAAGAAGGGCTTATCTGAGAGTTTAACTTCTGTGCATTTTGCCCAATTTAGACAAGATTAGTTAACTCCTCTGTGGTCACCTAAGGAGGAAAACTAGGCTTTTTTTTTTTTTTTTTGAGTCAGGGTCTCGCTCTGTCACCCATGCTGAAGTGCGGTGGTGCCATCTCGGCTCACTGCAACTTCTGGCTCCTGGGTTCAAGCGATTCTCATTCCTCAGCCTGCCCAGTAGCTGGGACTATAGGCATGCGCTACCAAGCCTGGCTAATTTTTGTGCTTTTAGTAGAGACGGGGTTTTGCCATGTTGGCCAGGCTGGTCTTGAACTCCTGGCCTCAGGTGATATGCCCGCTTCAGGTTCCCAAAGTGCTGGGATAATAGGCATGAGCCACTGCGCCTGGCCTAACTTTTTCTACTGAGGGGCAGAACTTCCTTTGCATATGTTATGATTTACCTAGAATGCCTTTCCCTTCTATTTTCCCTGTGAACTCCTATCCATTCTTTAAAACCCACTCCAAGGTTCATCCCCCTCATGAAGCTTCCTCTCTGCAACCCAGCAGTTTCTCCCTTCCCTATGGTCCCAGAATGTGTTGTATATTCCATTGATCTCAAGGGCTTCTTAAAAATGGAATGGTCTGCCATTGCAATGTGTGTGATGGTCTGGACTGGGGTAAGTATTGCTTTGAGGTGGCACTTGGAAAACTGAAGTAATATTCAGATTTACCAAGATCCTATGACATCATCTTTAAGGACCATTTTCTACCTTCCAAAATGGGTCACGGCCAAATGTTGGCAGGAAATGATTCAAAGGTTTTAGCCAGGTCTTCCAGGCCCATTCCTGAAAGGTAATGTAAGAAACAGAAATAGATTAGCTACAATGTTTGTACCTTCCTAGACACTGAGTCATCACAAATTACACACATACACGTACATACACATACACATACACACACACAGACACCCATAAGCTGTTGGCTAAGGAACAAGGACTTCCCTTATTGGAATTTGAGGCATTGTGCAATCTGGTTGCCCAGAGCGACACTCAGATACTAGCCAACTAAGTGCTATATATTAGCAGCATGACTTGTCTAACAACAAGCAAAAAATAGGTTTAGAGGAAATGAAAGCTTCCAGAAAAGTTAAATTCTGACTTCACCTCACTTTCTCCTGTTCCTTGCCTATACACACACAAAATACGTACACACCCAAAAAATACTCCTAGGGCAGAGGGTACTTCGGTTTCCTCATTTATAAATCAATAAAGTACAACTATGTTCCAGAATTGTACATTTCTACATAAAGATAATCCTAATGTATATGAATTGTTTGCCTCGATACATGGGTTTTGGGGCTATGCAGAGAACTGTACTTGCCATCTAAAATGTCACCCCTGAAGTTTCAAGATACATTTTAATATTACACAAAACTGGAGGTCATTCAGCTCTTGAAGGGCAGGACTTTATGAGCTCACTTTGAAAATGAGAAGTTATCTTTTCTCAGACAAGTCACCCGAGCCAAAGCAATGAGCAAACTCTAACACCCCTCCTTAAAAATTAACAAAGGTCCTTTTTGTTTGGCCAGTGCCAAAGCCTTCAAACTCAGTTGCACTTCGTTCTAAATTTTATAGATAATGCATATTTCTAAGAGTGCATTAGTAACTTCTTATAAACCCACACCAAAGCAAACAGAGGTTAACCCTCCTTTTTCAATGATTTCATGCTAAATGACTGTGCTTATCAGAGTGAAGAGGTAAGAGACTGCTTTAATATGATGTCTGGCTAAGTAGGAGAACACTGTGAGAGAGAGAAAACAGAATAAATTTATTTATTTAATTTCATGATAAACAATATTCGTTGAACACATCTTTTTTTTTATTTTTGAGATGGAGTTTCACTCTTGTTGTCCAGGCTGGAATGCAATGGCGCAATCTTGGCTCACTGCAACCTCCGCCTCCCAGGTTCAAGCGATTCTCCTGTCTCCGCCTCCCAAGTAGCTGGGATTACAGGTGCCCACCACCTTGCCCGGCTAATTTTTGTATTTTTAGTAGAGACGGGGTTTCATCATATTGGTCAGGCTGGTCTCAAACTCCTGATCTCAGGTGATCTGCCCACCTCGGCCTCCCAAAGTGCTGGGATTACAGACATGAGCCATCACGCCCGGCCTGGTTGTACAAATCTTTAAAAAAAGACTTGCTTGACTACATTGTGCAAAATGCAGAACTAGAAACTGTCAGCAATCAAAAGCACTTCATTCTAACTAGCTGTGCCTTAAACGTTGTCAAGATAACTTCTAGAGAGATGTGCTGCTCCTGTTTAAAGTGTGTCAGTGCCACTCACATAGGACAATGTGTGTTCCTCAAAAGTCGGATGTAGGTCGGGCGCAGTGGCGCATGCCTGTAATTCCAGCACTTTGGAAGGCCGAAGTGGGTAGATCACCTGAGGTCAGGAGTTTGCAACCAGTCTGACTGATACCATGAAACCCCGTCTCCACTAAATACAAAAAAATTAGCCAGGCATGGTGGTGCATGCCTGTTAATCCGAGTTACTTCGGAGGCTGAGACAGGAGAATCGCTTGTACCTGGGAGGCAGAGGTTGCAGTGAGCTGAGATCACGCCATTGCACTCCAGCCTGGGCAACAAGAGCAAAACTCTGTCTCAAAAAAAAAAAAAAGTAGGATGTAACTCCAGTAACATTTGAAGAGTGCCAAGGAGTCCTCTCTTTAAAGGGATCCTACAGTATATCAGTTTTTTGAAGCAAAGAAGCCTTTAGCAATGCCACAATCGCCTCTGATTTATTTGATTAATTTTTGTAATACTTGGTTTTCTTAAAGCATGGCACACTTAAACCAGTTATTTATTGGAATAGTTTTTGTTTTCAAAGTCACTACCAATTGAATGTGCAGCCTTCACTGGTGTCATTACCCCATGCTTCCGTCTCATTTTGCAAGATAGTGTTAGAACTAAAGTGGGGGTGACCCCAAGGCGCCTTGAGCCTTGGCTCCATGTTAGGGATCCCATAGAGGTACTACCACCTGATCCTCTCCACAGCCTCGTGAGGTGCACCTCACAGCATTTGCTGTTCAGAGGAGGGAACTGAGGTCTGAGAAGGAAATTCACTTGCTGAAGTTAACTTGCTGCCTCCAGTGAGAGGCAGGATTGATATTTGAGCCCACGTCTGTCTGACTCCAATGCTAATGATTTTTACATCCCGGCTGAAGGATGATATTGCCAAGCCCTTAAAGAAGAAGGCATATTTGGACACCTCATTAGCAATTTGGGCGCTAAATCATACCCTGTTGGCCAGGAAGAATTAAAGTTGCTGCCCAGGGCTCCCACCTCAGGTCCAGGGAGTAGCCTCAATACTGAGGGAATCTGAATTAAGGAGCTTGGAAGTTCCCCCCACCTAGCTGTAGTGGGCAGTTTCAGAGTGGGCTGATCCAGGAGTCCTGACCAGGTCAGTAGGGTGATGTCTAGACTCCAGTACCACTGAGAATGTTGCTATGTTGGCTTTCTCTGCCACACAGAAAAGTCTTTTCTTTCCTTTTCTTTTCTTTCTTTCTTTCTTTTTTTTTTTTTTTTTTGAGACGGACCCTCCCTCTGTTGACCAGGCTGGAGTGCAGTGGCACAATCTCGGCTCACCACAACCTCCGCCTCCTGGGTTCAAGTGATTCTCCTGCCTTAGCCTCCCGAGTAGCTGGGACTATGGGTGCGCACTACCATGCCTGGCTAATTTTTGTATTTTTAGTAGAGACAAAGTTTCACTACGTTGGCAAGGCTGGTCTCAAACTCCTGACCTCGTGATCTGCCCACCTCGGCCTCCCAAAGTGCTGGGATTATAGGCGTGAGCCACCACGCCTGGCCTAAGACTGTCTTTCCAAATGACTTCAAATTCCTTCAAATGGGTAACTTCATTTAACCAGGTGGGGGCACCTCCCAAAACACAAGTTACCCAGCTTTCAAGTTGTGGCTCTCATATAAGGAAGTAACTTTCTTTGAGAGTATTTACTTGTGAAATTATAAAAGTAGTAAATTTCTGGAAAATGTCTAACATGTATTGCTAGCGTAGGCCGCAGGGCATTGAGAAACGTATACCGCTGCACTGCTGGCCCAGCTAACCAAGGGTCTCCTTCACTTCTTTGTCATTAATAGCCTGAGTAACTAACTCCACTTTAGTTCCCTCAACTGTGAAATGGCAAGTGATGCTAGATTATCTCTAATGATCTTTGCTAAAATTTTATGATCCAGATATCCTTATCTGATTCTTTCTCAGAATCACTTTAACAGTTTAATAAAAACGGCCTGACATCAAGAGTTTTTTTTTTTTTAAAGAAAAGATACTCAAGCATTGATTATAAATTTCAACTTGACCCTTAAGTTTTTGCAAATCTTTCCTACTCTTCCTTTAGGATCCAGCCCACCATCCCATCCAGAACCACAGTGCCCTTTGGAAGACAGAGCTATGCCAAAAGACAGCAGGAGCAGGCAGGGACACAAGGAGGCAGGGACTGGAGTGTGCTGAGCCAGTGAGAATCAGTGTTTGACAGACCTGGGTCCTGTACCCAAAAAAACTTCCAGAGTTCCCCATTAAGGAGCACTCTCATCCCTGTTTTGTTACCAAGAGCTAAGAAAGCACTTCATCCTGGAACTCATTGTTTTCTGCCCATTTTCCCCTATGTAATCCTCTTGGATTTTGCAGACGTTTTAGGCCTGTTGTCTCTGGACACGACAACCACCTTCAGAGCTGGCACCGAGTTCTGCCTTGTGAGTGGTTTGCCCCATCAGCCACTGCATCCCTTCTTCCAACTAAACCTGAGCGTTCTCCTCTTTAGGAAGAAATGATACCAATCGGCATTTGGGTCCCAAAATTCTCATCTCTCACCTCCTCTTCACAGTCCCTTTCCCCTTAGGGCAGTCTGTGGGCATCTCTCTAAAATCCATTTCCCAATCTAGATGTAGCGCTCAGAGTCCTGTTGAATTTATTTGGACATCAAAAGAGCCACAATACTTGTGCTTTTTTATAGTTTTCTTTCAAAGAACATTTCAGTCCATGAGACAGAAAAAAAATGGCTTTGCTGTATCCAACTTGTCACAGGCTTGTATTTGGCATTGTTCTGAGAAAGACCTCAACCACTCGTGAAACCCAGACGTCATTTCCCGTCGTGTTCTTTCATGTTAAATGCTTCTAGCTGCTCGCTGGTGCTTGGTCACTCTATAACTAAATATTGCTTTAGCACTGGCTACACAAAGAGCTTCCTGAAAGCAGCAGGGGGGACATGCTAGGGGCTTAACAATAGGGGCACTGTTTCCATTGAGCGGGTTTGCTGCCCAACGCTGTGTCAAATGAAAGTGACCCAGGAGCACCACTGCTCCACTTCTGAGCTTCCACTTGTGACTTTTTCCTCACTGGGGAAAGAAGCTGGCTGTGATTTAGATGTGGCTAGCAAAAGGTTTAGTTCTGGCATAAAATCAGGCATCAGAACGACTTTGAAAGAAAGTAATTCACCTTCAAAAATACATGGGGAAAAAACTTCATGAGCACCAGAGAAGCATTTGGAAGAGTTAACCTTGGACATGGCTTACGAGGGTGTATTTTTAAGGCCAGACTCAGTTTTCATTATATTGTTGCTATGCAAGTAAATAAATGAGCTCACTGCTACACCCAAGCTGGGCAGAATGAATTTACAGAGAATTAATAAATCCAGGGTAGGCAACATGTGGCTTTTCTTCTGGTCATAGAGAAGCAACTAGTACTCTTGGATTTTAAGCAGGCAAACCTCTGTAGCTTTACAGTTTCTGAAAATTGGATCCCAGTTCTAATGGGCAGGCAGTGATAATGGTAATGTTTCTTTTCCTAAGGTTTTCTTTAAAGGGAAGGGATCAAATAGTTCATTTAAGACAAAGAGGTTATTATAAAGTCTAATAAATACTGTGGTAGCTCTGTTAATGCTTTTCAAGGGCATTTAAGTGAAAGAAGCCCTTTCCAACAGGCAGTTTTGGAAAGCTAAACACTCTTGTTAATTCATGAAACGCAAAGAGAGATAATATAAATAAATCAGGGGCTGGGGAGGAATTAGAGATAGACAGGAAGCAGTCAAATTTTACTTCCCACATATGCCAAGAAAAGTGCAAATACATGGCTGTTACTTAGTAAAACCTACTTTTAAATTCAGAGAATCGTAGGTACTATGAATGGTGAGGTTATAAATCTGTAATCATTACAGCACGGGGACACTTTTTAACTTCTCATCAATTACCCATTGTTATTTCCTGAGCACATCCTGGGTTACCTAGCTCCTGACTAGGCATTAGGGAAGGACACAAGAAGCTGACTCCACACATTAGTACTCTACTAAATTCATGGGTAAACTCCACTGGTCAATAATCAAGTCACTATCTCTATATTGGAGGCAAAGGATTGCACAATTCAGGCTATTTGTAATGTTGCTTTGGATTGTAGAGACTTAGACTCAGAGGAATCACGGGACATAGAATCTAGAACAGGTCTGTGTCCCATCATTCTCTTAAAAGAAAACCTTTCAAGTAATATTTCTTATTATCTTTTAAAATCTTGTTAAAATGACAAAATATATATATATTTGTAATTTTTAAAATTTTGATGCATACAAAGATAGACATAGATAGATAGATAATGTAGAAGTATAAATAATAATAAGTCACTAGAGCATGACTAACTAGTGAAGTTACCCAGTCTCCTCTCCATCCCATCTCTCTGTCTCCCATCCACTCTACCCAACTCTTCCTTTCAAAGAGTAGGATTTTTCTGCTTCGTTTTTTTACTGCTTTGTTCTTACTTAGGGTTGCTGGAAGCACATGGAAGGAGGGAAGTAGTCAAAACAAGACAGTGTTGTGAGGGGAGAGATGAGAAGTCATGATAAGTAGGTGGGTGGGTGACCCACAGGGCTGGCATCAGAAGGAAACATAGCAAAACATGATGGATATGAGGCTTGCTGTGGGGAGGGGGATTGGCCTTTGTGAGTGGCAGCCGTCTGCTCCCTTCCCGCTTCCCTTAGTGCTCCATTGAGCTAGCAGCATGCAGCTGAGAAGTTGAAGTTCTGACCACATGGCCTCTGCTGCCGCTGCTCTGCCCCATCCCAGGCACCTAGCCAGCTCTGCATTAAGGAGGTGAAGTGGATGCCCAAGGAAAGAAGTGCCCCCAAGGAGACTTGCTGAGACCTTGAACAAGTGACACAATGTGAGCAGAACTTGTCTTGACAGAAAATGCTTTGTCTCTAGGTGTTCCAGAGAGATGGGCAAGTGTCCTATTTCTTAGTGAGAGCCTCTAAACAAACCAGCTTGTGAACCTCCACTGAAAAGATCTCATCTGATGAGCATTTTAATAAAGTGTCCTGAGTTTGGAGGCTTGCCGTCTTTCTCTTGGATAAATATCTTCATCTCCTAGACTTGGAAAAACACATTTTCTCCTGGGGTTTCCCATTGGCGTGTCTTGAGCTGCTCTGGTGATAACCGTAATAATGCCAATACTGATACGAACAGCAGAAAACAGTAACCCCAAGAACTCTACAGATGATCATCAAGGACCACTGTCTCTTACCATTTGCTGCTTTGGTTTGAAATTCTCACTGCCTCGTAGATCTCATTTTGAGCACTATACATTCCTAAAGATTGATTTCTTTCTATCTGACTTAAATTTAGGAATGATTAAATCTTCATTTCTCCCATGATTTGATCCTAAAACATTTTGAAAGGAAACAGCCTTGAGATCTGTGATTACTAAGACATACATAACATTCTTATCACATTAGAAAGCAAGAATTGACTGTTGCTTGTCTTGTTCCTGTTGTCTTGTCCCCTGAATTCCTGTTTATCTTTGATTGTATGTGGGACATTGTATTTTCAGTACATTTGTAGAAATAATGTGAAGCCTATAAAGATGTTCTCTGCCTCCAGAGAGAATTTTGTTTCCTTCTGCCAGCCTCATAGGCAAGCATACATCTGATTCCATGCTTTGAGCTGTTCTGGCAACCCTGATGTCTTCAGCCTGTGCAAGGGTGGGTTTACTTCCAGTTAATCCTTATTTTGGATACAGTCCTTAGGGTTCCAACCCAAAGTCGGGGGTGGTTTGGGGTCCCTGCCTTGGTGAGCCCTATAGTCCAATGTTCCCCCTTACCCAAAGAAGCTGTAGAAAACCCAGCACAGCCTCCCAGGCACCAGTTTCAGATCAGCAAAAAATAGCAAATGCCCCCAGGCTTGAAAAGCAATCTCACCTCTATTAACTCTTCTCCCAAAGTTTGACCTAGTAATTCTTTATTATCCTTGAACTCTTGACACTATTAAGAAGATCTTTTCGGCTGGGCGCAGTGGCTCACGCCTGTAATCCCAGCACTTTCGGAGGCCGAGGCGGGCGGATCACGAGGTCAGGAGATCGAGATCGTCCTGGCTAACACGGTAAAACCCCGTCTCTACTAAAAATACAAAAAATTAGCTGGGCACGGTGGCGGGCGCAGTGGGCGGGTGCCTGTAGTCCCAGCTACTCGGAAGGCTGAGGCAGGAGAATGGCGTGAACTCAGGAGGCGGAGCTTGCGGTGAGCCGAGATCTCACCACTGCACTCCAGCCTGGGCGACAGAGTAAGACTCTGTCTCAAAAAAAAAAAAAAAAAAAAAAAAAAAAAAAAAAAAAAAAAGATCTTTCCTAGCTTTTCTTCATTTTTTTAAGTTGTCTTCAGCAAGATGGTTAATCTCAATTACCTAGTCCATGATTTCTGGAAGTCAAAGTCAAAAGGTAAAATCTATATAGCCTAGGTGACAATTACAATAACAATAACAATAGCTAAGGCTTATTATGGCTTTATGCCAGGTACTTTATGCACTTGATCTCATTTAATACTCATATAGCCTATGAGGGAAGTATAATTTCCATTTTACCTATGAGAAAACAGGCTTAGAATGGAACCTTTGTTCTCATAGCTTGTGAGTGGTAGAACCGGGATTTAGATCCAGCTCTGCCTGAGTCCAGCTTCTGTTTGTCAATTACTTCCCTCTTCAGACCTAATTCTTCCAATAAGCAACAGAAAAAGACCCAGTGGGGCCATGGCCTCTGGCACACAGCTTCTCATAAACGAGCCTATCACACATCCCCAGAACTAAAGCAATCGTATGTTCCTTCTGATGTTGAGGTAAAAAGCAGGGTTTGTTTTGGTTTCCCTTTTCCAAAACACTCCCCCACATGTTTCTGGCTTGTGGTTAAGAAGAACCCAGGTGTTCATGTCACATACGAGCTCAACTGGGGAAAAGGAAACCATCCAGCAGCCCTCCTTGCCTGCCAATAGTGGCTTCACCCAACTTGGGGTGCATTCTTCTACAGTTTCTGATTTCTCAACTTCACCTAACATTCCCTTGCCTTCTTGGATCCCTCTCTTGCCCAACACTACCATGCATGGCTGATAGGGCACTGTTCTGCCCCATATCCCATGGGTTCTACTTAACCCAGAGCTGGCTTACCTGGAAACCAAGCTTATTCTGTAGTGGCAGACCTCACGCCATCTTGCTTAATAGCCTTCAGTTTTCCTTTAGTTGATTAATGTATCACTCAATAGATTATGCAAGACCTACTCTGCTAGGCACTGTACTAGGCCCTGTGGTTTATATTTAAATGAAGAGGGAATGATCTCTGACTTTAAAATGCTGGAAGAAGAGATGAGATGCATCAAGACCGTCAAACCACAAGTGATAAGTGCTGTCAGAGATGTGTGGATCACTGGCTCAGGGAGTTCCAAGGATAGAGACATATTATCTGTTTGGGAAGGGCTTGGTGGGGGAAAGGCATTCAGCCGGGCCTTGAAAATCAATTAAAGTTTGAATATGAGGAAAGAAAGAAGAGCATCTCAGACAAGGACATGGCATGGATGAAGGCACAGAGGTATGGGCGTGCAGGGCATCTGTGGAAATGGACAGCTCAGTTCTCGCCGAGGGAGGGAGTTGGTGCAGAGCCTGGGGGCCCTGCCTTCAGAAGATTTCCAAGAGGAAGGAGGGCAAAAATACACAGATGAAGGCAAAGACTGGCAGCCCGGAGGCCAAAGACGCGTTTAGTTTGGCCAAGACACTGTTTTTAAAATTTAAGTCAATTTTGAAAACCAGGTTTCACATAAAATTCCAAATTTCTGGCTTCTGAAAACGTGAAAGATCTGGCAACACAGGGCGCAATGTCTTCCCTCTTTCGGTAGAAGGAGTTCTGTCTCCCCGGCACCAAAGCCTGGCTTGTTTCTTCCCTACACCCTGCTTGCTCGGTCCGTGAGCATCTGAGTATAGGACCCTTGCTCTGCTATGGGTACCAGCTCAGGGAACACAGATGCAGAAACATCAGAAAGAGTCCCAAGGGCCTCTCATCCAACTTGCTGACTGTCATCATGCTGGTTCTCAGACCTCCCTATCTCTCTCTGCTATCCAAACACAGACCCTCCTCTTTAAAATTTCAGCATACATGGCTTTCAAAATTATGAGGCATGAAAGTGTCAAAAGCATCTCCAGAAACTCATGCCGCCAGGATCTGAGACTCAAAACAGTGTGGATCAAACACCATCAAAGTGTGGGGTGGGGCAATTCGAGTTTGTTTCCTTGTTTTTATGTAAGCAGATTAATTAGAGAACTAACATAACGCCAGTCTTTGGGCTTTTGATCCTATCCTGCCAGGACCCAGACTTGGAGATGTATTAAATGGATTCTTCCTTTTCTAAATGGAAGAATCTGCCCTTCTCGGCTTCATAGCTCTTCTCAAAGTCTCTGTCTTGGACCCTCCCGTTAGTTACTGAGAATGGTATACTAACATCTGAGAAAGGTTGGATTCCTCCTAGGGACAGAAAATCCACATATGGAAAGTGCAAATCCTGTGCCGGGTAATCACGAAAGCAGTTGCAGTAGCATTGGATCATAGAGCCCCAGGAGACCTCACAATTCAGCCCCCTTCCTGGCAACACTAATGAATTAAGAGGTCAGTTTGGTAATTCCAAAGGCTAAGCCTTTGTAACTATAAATAAATGCACAGAATGAAAGGAATGTAGAAAAAAAAAAAAGCAAACAGAGGGGGAAAGGAAATGAAAAACCTGACTTGATTTCATTGAGAAAATTAGTTTAAAAATGTCCTTTGTGTAGCAATTCCTTTAATGCCTCACCGAACAAATGCCTAGGAGAATTCTTCCAAACTTGAGGTCCCCTTAACCAGACCTTGGTGTGCGTCTTCAGCTGAAATTCAGCAGTTCTGGGAGGTGGAATGAGGAGAGATCGTTGGAAGGTTTTTGTGTACTTATGTCACGCAGCAAGAAAAAGCCTTAATGAACCACAAAACTGGAGACTTTGTAAGGTACAGCTCAGTCAGCACTTTTCCTCCGAGGAGAGGACACACAATTGGCATGAAAGTGACCCAAGCAACAGGTCGAGGCAGAGAATGTCCAAAAGTAGAAGACTTCGAGCTCCCTGATCTTCCACACGTCACAATGCGGATTGCTGCACTGGACTTGGCATTTAAATGGGACCAGCATTTTGCATCCTGGTCCCATTTAAATGCCATTTGTGGACCAACGTGAATTAGATGGTAATGTCAGGAAGGCTGGAATCGGTGGTGGCGGGCGGGGGGTGCTGTATTCGGTTGGCGTTTCCCCCCTGTGGTTTTCACCATCTGTTTCTTTGAATGCATAAACAAGGAAAATGACTGGTTTGGAATGCAGAGTTTTAAAAAACCAGAAGACCACAGGCATCCTCTAAATGAGAAAGAGAGAGCAAGTTGGGGTTCTGTGACATTTGTCAGGAAGTGAAATGTTAAATACCGGGAAGCATTAGCGCTTTCTGCCAGGGAAGATCCACAAAGGCAAGGAAACACTTTAGCGGTGAACCTGCCTTCCTTTTCTGAGGTCGTGCTATGTGTTTATATGTCACCTAGTGCTATTTTCAGACACCAACGCCACCCACTCTAGCTCCCAATCCCCTTCTGGGTTTTTTGTTTGTTTGTTTGTTTTGTTTTGTTTTGAGACAGAGTCTCTCTCTGTCACCCAGGCTGGAGTGCAGTGGAACGATCTTGGCTCACTGCAAGCTCCTCCTCCCAGGTTCACGCCATTCTCCTGCCTCAGCCTCCCAAGTAGCTGGGACTACAGGCGCCCACCACCACACCTGGCTAATTTTGTGTATTTTTAGTAGAGATGGGGTTTCACTGTGTTAGCCAGGATGGTCTCGATCTCCTGACCTCGTGATCCGCGATCCTTGCCCTCCCAAAGCGCTGGGATTACAAGCGTGAGCCACCACGCCCAGCCTGTTTGTTTGATTGTTTGTTTGTTTTTTGAGACGGAGTTTCACTCTTTTTGCCTAGGCTGGAGTGCAGTGGCAAGATCTCAGCCCACTGCAACCTCCGCCTCTCGAATTCAAGTGATTCTCCTGCCTCAGCCTCCCGAGTAGCTGGGATTACAGGCACATGTCACCACACCCGGCTAATTTTATATTTTTAGTAAAGACGGAGTTTCACCATGTTGGCCAGGCTGGTCTCCAACTCCTGACCTTAGGTGATTCTCCCGCCTTGGCCTCCCAAAGTGCTGGGATTACAGGCATGAGCCACTGCGCCCGACATGCCCGCTTCTGTTTTTTAAACGAAAGATGAACAGTTAAGCTGGACTTAGCCTTGGTTTTCCATTAGCATTATTGCTAAGTTGGCAACCTTGGATAAAATCCACTCTTGGAAACTTTTAAGCTGAACAAAAGCTGCACTATGAGCAGGTGCTATGATAAAGCCAAGACAGCGCTCTAAGTAGAGGGGCTGATGAAATAGACTAAGGGGAGATCTTCATTTCTCTCCTGGACAATAGCGAGTAAAAAAAAAAAAACAATCATATAAGGGCATTAGGAACACATTGTGTTTTTCTTTAGCAAAGGGCATCCTGCTTTGAAAAGGAAGGTTTGCTATGCACAATACAGTGGCCATTCTATAAAGTGGTTCCGTATGCTCCATGCCAACAGACCTCAAAGCAATAGGTTCCTTTTTTAAACCCAAGACAGTGGAGAGACTTGATGGAAATTTTGAGTGCATACTAATCTCTTTTACTTCGTTGCAAGAAACAATCAGTTGTAAGCACTAGGGATTAAAAGCCAAATTGAACTCAGGCATTTTGAGAGCGCCTGGGGAGAAGGCATTGGTGCATTTGGCTGAGTTCCACCCATTTCAGCATAAGATGGACGTGGAGCATTTTTCACATAGTTCTGTAGGCAGCCTGACGCCAGAGTTTTCACTTCAGAGAAAGGATAAAAGTTGACGGTTTCTTAGGGAACAACCAACTCTTCCTCATTTGCAATGTCTGTTCTCCTCAAAGATGTCGTGGGCAACGCTTGAGATGGGCACTCAATGACTCAAAGGGTGGGGGTTAGGCAGAAACAAGACCCTGGGCATTTAGAAGCCCTTGGACGATTACATATATTTCAAAATGAGTTAAGTTCAAATAATTTTTTGCTGGTGCTTAGCACACCAATGAAGTATGTAGATATGAAAACAGGAGGCTGCTAGGTAAGATTCATTTTATTGGCACTGGTTCCAGATGCCAGCATCGTGATGAACGCTATTTGACTTCTGATATCCCTTGACGTAGGTACTGTTGGGGATGTTTTCTTTCCTGGTGGAAATGGGAAAATGATTAGAGACCAGAGGTCAGGAGACCTGAATTCTGTTCCTGGTGCCTCCCTGACTCAGTATTTTGTTTGTTTGATACGTTAGAATGAAAGCTCCCAGAGGTTTCTAAGGACAGCACAGTTTGAGCATTGGCTTTGTAAAAGTACTCTGGTGACCTGTGGAATTACAGTTATAATCATCATAATAATGTCCAATGAAGAGGCATACTGAGGAAGGCATGAGAGGAATTTTAAGTGGCTAAACTCTATTTGCATTATTCATTTTACAAATTGTTTCAGAGCCTTAAAGCAAATTTCAGTATGCGGTACTTTAGATGCAAAATGCTCCTCTAGGACTTTCATAAGTTACACACAAGTATCCCTTAAAGTATATTTCAGAAATATGCTTGCAGTGCATCAACTCTATCTGATGAACTTTGAGATGATCACAATTAAGGGTGATAGAGATATTTTAGGGATTTTTTTTCTCATTGGGATTCAAGAGGGATTTAAAAGTTTACTAACCTGGGCCAGATGCAGTGGCTCACACCTGTAATCCCTGCACTTTTGGGGGCTGAGGTGGGTGGATCACCTGAGGTCAGGAGTTTGAGACCAGCCAACATGATGAAACCCTGTCTCTACTAAAAATACAAAAAATTAGCTGGGCATGGTGGCGTGCACCTGTAATCTCAACTACTCAGGAGGCTGAGGCAGGAAAATCACTTGAACCCGGGAGGCAGAGGTTGCTGTAAGCTGAGATTGTGCCACTGTACTCCAGCCTGGGGAGCAAGAGCAAAACTCCATTTCAAAAAAAAAAAAAAAAGTTTACTAACGTGGTGTCTACTTGTCTCCTTCCTGTTATGTCTTCTTTCTTTGGTTTCTTTCTATCTTTTTATGAGGGAGAGTTGAGGGATGAGTGCTTAGTTAGGAGGCAAGGAGATTCAAGGACTCAGGCTTGGAAATTTACACCTCTGTGCCTTCTCTCCCACAGGTGATAACCCCCGTGAGGACAGGCCATGGCTACGTATACGAGTACCCATCCAGATACCAAAAGGACGTCTATGATATCCCTCCTTCTCATACCACTCAAGGGGTGCGTACCAGAACATGGTCACAAGAGGAGAAGCGCTTCTAAGGGTAGCATTCCTTCAGGGCTGTAGAGAAAAGGGAGTTCACAAATTATGCATTAATATATGTCATATGAAGCTTTGTTTAGGTTGTCTACCCAGTAGCCACTTTAGCCAATGCTATTTAAATTATGTTTTCTGGATTTGCTTTATCAGGAAATCCTAGTATTTCACCCAAGAGAGCTTATGTTCTTCTACAATTTTGCTTCAGAAAGTAGATTTTTCTTTTTTCTTTTTTTTTTTTTTAAGACAGAATCTCACTTTGTTGCCCAGGCTGGAGTGCAGTGGCTCTATCTCAGCTCACTGCAACCTCCACCTCCCAGGCTCAAGCAACTCTCCTGCCCCTGCCTCAGCTTCCCAAGTAGCTGGGACTACAGGCACACACACCACCATACCTGACTAATTTTTGTATTTTGTAGGGACAGGCTTTTGCCATGGTGGCCAGGCTGGTTTTGAACTCCTAACTGCAAGTGGTCTGCCCACCTCGGCCTTCCAAAGTGCTGGGATTACAGGTGTGAGCCACGGCCCCCAGCTGGAAAGTAGAAAATTTAAACTACACTTTAAAGTACAGACAGCGTAGATATTTCACATAAGATCTTTTTTTTTTTTTTTTTTTTTTTTTTTGAGACAGAGTCTTGTTCTGTCACCAGGCTGGGAGTGCAGTGGCACGATCTCAGCTCACTGCAACCTCTGCCTCCCGGGTTCAGGCGATTCTCCTGTCTCAGCCTCCCAAGTAGCTGGGACTACAGGTGTGCACCACCACACCCAGCTAATTTTTGTATTTTTAGTAGAGATGGGGTTTTACCATGTTGGCCAGGATGGTCTCGATTTCTTGACCTTGTGATCTGCCCACCTCAGCCTCCCAAAGTGCTGGGATTACAGGCGTGAGCCACCGTGCCTGGCCAAAATCATTTTTATATTAAATGTAAGTTAAAAACCATAAAATGTATTAAAAAAAAAGGCAATAAATCTGTTATAACATGGAGCACTGCCAAAGATCAAGCTTGTACATAACCTGGTAAATAAATCCATAATTAAGTGCTTAGGAGCATAAAAAATGACCAAGTATAAGACATTTCCATTCTGGGTAACTCACGGGTTTCTCTTCAGGTATACGACATCCCTCCCTCATCAGCAAAAGGCCCTGTGTTTTCAGTTCCAGTGGGAGAGATAAAACCTCAAGGGGTGTATGACATCCCGCCTACAAAAGGGGTGAGTGAGTGACTACAAAGCAGCAAAAAGGAGTGTGTGTGTGTGTCTGTGTGTCGGGGGGTGCAGGGTTGGGAGGGTGGGTAAGTAGTTCACTCGAATAAAACAAGAAAGGCAAACCCAAAAGGGGAAAATGTAGTCTTGGTGAGAGTAAAGGAAGGAAGCAAAAAAGGAAAGGCACTAATTAAAGATAGCTCTAGGGATTTCATATTGAGAAGCCCCAACTAAAAAACACTAGGTGGCCAATAAGGATAACCCTTTGGCAGGGAAGATAATTAGTTCAGTTTGGCAAGTACTAATATATATTTGTAGAGGGTTTGTTTTGTTTTGTTACATTTTGTTTGAGACAGGGTCTCGCTCTGTCACCCAGGCTGGAGTGCAGTGGCGCAACCACAGCTCATTGCAGTCTTTACTTCCCAGGCTCAAGCAATCCTCCCACCTCAGGCTCCCAAGTAGCTGGGACCACAGGTGCACGCCACCATGACTGGATAAATTTTATTTTTTGTAGAGACGGTGTCTCCCTATGTTGCCCAGGCTTGTTTTGAACATATGGGCTTAAATGATCCTACTACCTTGGCCTCCCAAAGTGCTGAGATTACAGGCTGAGCCGCGCCTGGCCTGTAGAGGGTTTGACAGTTTCCTCAGTGTGTATGTTTGAGTGAACTCGTTTGACTCACTCTGTTACCCTATGGGGTATGCCTGCACAGGAGGCACAGTAATCCCTACTTTACAGACAAGGGGACTGTGTTTCAGACGCCTATGCAGCTCATTCAGCATCACACAGCTGGTGTGATAACCAAAAAGACCGGGGGAGAACTCTGGTCTTACTCTGCCTCTCGGCACAGATCAGCAGAGAAAGGATACCCAGGAGGTGGTCAGAAACACAGGACTGGAAACACAGGGTGAGCAATTTAGCCAGGAGGGTTGTACATACGAGTCTGCACCAAGAACGTGGGGTTGGACACACTTGGCAAAGGACAAGGGAAGTGACAGCAGAATAACGGGGAACCTTGGAAGTGCCTAACATTGGGGCGGGGGAGGGCGACCGAAAAAGTGCCAGCAAATAGGACTGAGCACATGGGACCACAGGTTCCCATGAGCCAACTCAATAAATAGCATTTCGCTTTCTACTTGCTTTGCAGGTATATGCCATTCCGCCCTCTGCTTGCCGGGATGAAGCAGGGCTTAGGGAAAAAGACTATGACTTCCCCCCTCCCATGAGACAAGCTGGAAGGCCGGACCTCAGACCGGAGGGGGTTTATGACATTCCTCCAACCTGCACCAAGCCAGCAGGGAAGGACCTTCATGTAAAATACAACTGTGACATTCCAGGAGCTGCAGAACCGGTGGCTCGAAGGCACCAGAGCCTGTCCCCGAATCACCCACCCCCGCAACTCGGACAGTCAGTGGGCTCTCAGAACGACGCATATGATGTCCCCCGAGGCGTTCAGTTTCTTGAGCCACCAGCAGAAACCAGTGAGAAAGCAAACCCCCAGGAAAGGGATGGTGTTTATGATGTCCCTCTGCATAACCCGCCAGATGCTAAAGGCTCTCGGGACTTGGTGGATGGGATCAACCGATTGTCTTTCTCCAGTACAGGCAGCACCCGGAGTAACATGTCCACGTCTTCCACCTCCTCCAAGGAGTCCTCACTGTCAGCCTCCCCAGCTCAGGACAAAAGGCTCTTCCTGGATCCAGACACAGCTATTGAGAGACTTCAGCGGCTCCAGCAGGCCCTTGAGATGGGTGTCTCCAGCCTAATGGCACTGGTCACTACCGACTGGCGGTGTTACGGATATATGGAAAGACACATCAATGAAATACGCACAGCAGTGGACAAGGTGGAGCTGTTCCTGAAGGAGTACCTCCACTTTGTCAAGGGAGCTGTTGCAAATGCTGCCTGCCTCCCGGAACTCATCCTCCACAACAAGATGAAGCGGGAGCTGCAACGAGTTGAAGACTCCCACCAGATCCTGAGTCAAACCAGCCATGACTTAAATGAGTGCAGCTGGTCCCTGAATATCTTGGCCATCAACAAGCCCCAGAACAAGTGTGACGATCTGGACCGGTTTGTGATGGTGGCAAAGACGGTGCCCGATGACGCCAAGCAGCTCACCACAACCATCAACACCAACGCAGAGGCCCTCTTCAGACCCGGCCCTGGCAGCTTGCATCTGAAGAATGGGCCGGAGAGCATCATGAACTCAACGGAGTACCCACACGGTGGCTCCCAGGGACAGCTGCTGCATCCTGGTGACCACAAGGCCCAGGCCCACAACAAGGCACTGCCCCCAGGCCTGAGCAAGGAGCAGGCCCCTGACTGTAGCAGCAGTGATGGTTCTGAGAGGAGCTGGATGGATGACTACGATTACGTCCACCTACAGGTAAAACAGCGGAACTCATAAAACACCTACACTCACTCACATGCAGGGAGCCTGAGAAAGATGCCTATAAGGATGTCGGGTTGGACTGCCAAAGGAGAGAACATAATTAATGTTAATCTACATGGTTCACAAATTGGAGGGAGTGTCGTAGAGTAGTAAGAACGCTGGGCTGAGAGTCCTGAGTACTCACTCAGATCTAGCCCTTTCTCTGACGTTTACTGTGTGACCAACTTATTCAACCTCCTTGGGCCTTAATTTCCTCATTTGCAAAATGAATGGGGTAAGGGGTTGGATTAGATCCCGTTGATATACCTCAGGTAAGAGGAGACTCACCAAGTAGGATAATAGGCCCTCTAATAATAATACCAGCTCCACTTCTATTTGTGTTTTATGTATAGTTCCATGCAATATTTTATTTGAAAAAAAAGTTTTCGTCATTAAGAAAAAGAATAGAAGACCTTTGCACCAGAGAATTTCTAAGGCCCCTGCTAGCCCTACTCTGTGTATGTGTGTGTATAATTGCTTTAAAACTTAGCCCCATCTCAGACTTACCTAGAGGACCACTGGGCATTAGCTAGCTGTCCTAGGAGCTTAATCTGTGTATGGGACATTGGATAGTCACAGTTGGCCTCCTACAATTGGGAATTCTACCAAGCTCCAAGTTGACCTGGGATTCCGACAGCTTTCCCTTCCACTTTGAGGGATTAAAACATTCTACTGGCTGGGCGCAGTGGCTCACGCCTGTAATCCCAGCACTTTGGGAGGCTGAAGCAGGTGGATCACAAGGTCAGGAGTTCAAGACCAGCCTGGCCAATATGGTGAAACCCCATCTCTACTAAAAGTACGAAAATTAGCCAGGCATGGTGATGCACGCCTGTAGTCCCAGCTACTTGGGAGGCCGAGGCAGAAGAATCACTTGAACCTGGGAGGCGGAGGTTGCAGTGAGCTAAGATCGTGCCACTGGACTCCAGCCTGGGCGACAGAGCGAGACTCTGTCTCAGAAAAAAAAAAAAAAATCTACCAAGATCCATTGTTTAGGACTAGGCTTACTATCTTATTCTGCCATTCTTTTAATTTGACTGAGAGTCACAGATTATACTGAGAACTACGTAACTATTATGCCAAATTCCCTCAAGCGCAAGAAAGTGTGGCAAGGAGAACTGAGCCCCACCTGATGCTGAGGAAGGAAGTGGAGAGAGAGAGGATGGAGGCATTGAACATTCATCTTACTGGTTGTCTGACCCTGCACAGTGGGAACTACTGCCTTGGAGCAGAAATCTATAGATGATTTGAGGGAACTAGAAGTGAGAGGTGGACCACATTTAGACCTGCATTTGGGGGTTTACAGGTTCACATATAATCTATGAGAAAAGAACCCAGAGACTATAAAAAGAACATTATATATGAGATTTGAAGGGAATCATGAGTAGCTCTCCGAAAATTTTAAGGTGCCCCAGAAAGCTGGCACCCTATATGGCAATGGGCTTTATTTTTCTGCCACCCCTGTCGTCTAGGGTTCACAGTGCCTCACTGGGCATTTGAGATGTTGCCAAGGCAGTGGAAAATAAAGAGTATTTACTCATCCGTCAATGAAATTGTTAGCATAAGTGAATCACAGTGATGACATAATATGTTCTTTATGTTGAAAATTAACAGGGTAAGGAGGAGTTTGAGAGGCAACAGAAAGAGCTATTGGAAAAAGAGAATATCATGAAACAGAACAAGATGCAGCTGGAACATCATCAGGTAAGTTCAATCAGAGCAAAAACTGCTTGGCATTGGAAAGATTTCCCACCTAGCACTAAGGAAAGGTATCACTTCAAGAGATTATGATTTTGATTCTTCCAGCTCACTGGCAGGAATCAGCTCCAAAGCACGGAATGGGGTTTAAAAGCAAAGAGAAGGTTTATGACCTTGTTAGTTCAACTGGGTGTACCTGGGTTCCATCTAAACGGCAATTTTTTTAAAGGCTAAACCTGCATATCTAACATATGAGGACTATTTGGGTTAAGGCATTTGGTCTCAAGAAACAAGACCCATTCAAGCTAGCCTAAGCAAGCAGGTTTATAGTAAAGCCACAGTAGGGGAATTCAGTAACAGAAAGTGAAGATAGAGCCAGGTCTGGGGAGAACTAGAACTGTAAATTATCTCTCCTTCTTGTAGTTCCTTTGCTTCTTTCTATCAGTCTACTTCACTCTCACCTATTTTCTGGTTTTCTCTAATTATCTACTCATTTGGCTCCCCTGTAACTTTGCAGAACCCATAAATGGCCACTCAGAACTTCTATAGATGGCTTTTCATCTCGGCTTCCTCTTCCGATGGTTAGCTCCCTTCTCTTGTTCATCAGATTCCCAAGAAAGAGTCTGATTGGGCCACGTTGATTGGGCCATTTCTCTTTCTCTCTCTCTCTCTCTCTTTCTGTCTCTACCTCGCTATTTGTCTCTCTTTCGCCAGCAACACAAGCCTATGGTTTGCCTGGCCTTGGTCCAATCTAAAGGTAGGAGAGCAGAATTCAATGTTTTCAACATATATCCAGGCCTATCTACTGAGGACTTTGGGCAGGGCATGTTCATTCAAAAGCTGGGTATGAGTAGGGGAGATAATGACGACTATTGCTAGAACAAGGGCATACAAATAAAGAGAGATGGATTGAGGATTTATTTACAAGCCTTTTAAGATGAAATGAAGTGAAATGGCATGTAATGACATGAAATGGCATGCTATATTTAGGAAATCTGAGTTCTAATCCTTTCTGGCCAACCAACTATGTCAAGTCAGGTAACCTCCCCGAGCTTCAGTTACTTCCCTATAAAATGGGAAAGTACCCCCCCCATCTAATGACATGATATATTGATGAACATATTTGCATAAAGCCTAAGATATATAAAATATAATCCATTATGATTAAATACCTTGGAATATCACCTTGTACCTATTTATGTTTGCCTTGGCATCTGGCAAGGTAAGACTGCAGGGCTTTGGGGAACTTGTAGAAACCATAGCAATCGCTAAGAAGAAAACAGATTCTAGAAAAGTAAAGCTGTTGAAGGCTGGGCACGGTGGCTCACACCTGTAATCCCAGCACTTTGGGAGGCCGAGACGGGCGGATCATGAGGTCAGGAGATCGAGACCATCCTGGCTAACACAATGAAACCCCGTCTCACTAAAAATACAAAAAATTAGCCAGGCATGGTGGCGGGCGCCTGTAGTCCCAGCTACTTGGGAGGCTGAGGCAGGAGAATGGTGTGAACCTGGGAGGCGGAGCTTGCAGTGAGCCAAGATCGTGCCACTGCACTCCAGCCTGGGTGACAGAGCAAGACTCTGTCTCAAAAAAAAAGAAAAGTAAAGTAAAGCTGGCTGTGCATCTCTCAGAGAAGCTGGGGAAGCTGGGTGAGGTGATCACTGCTCCAGCTCATCCCTACGTCCAGGTGGGAGATTAACTGAGTCTGAAGCTCAGGTCACAGATAGTCCTTATCTGCAGAAGAGAGGTCTCTCTTGAGTCTTAGTGGAATCCCTAGAAATTATTATAATTGCAATTTAAATAATACACCATTTGGTAGCAATGAGGAAAGAAGGAAGAAAGCCAGCACCTGATGCATCTGACTCTGGGTAAAACCCCCTTCTTTTAACAGCTCTGGGGGACTAAATATTATGATGCACAATTCCCATTCAGACTGCCTTAGAAACTTTTTTTCCTTAAGTGCTCATATATTTATATGCATTAATCTTCCTGTAGTGCTGGATCATAACATGTCTATCAATCTTGACAGAAAGAGTAGGATAAACAGAAAGGGGTCATGAATGGTCATTTCATCTGAGCATCCTGAGATAGTCGAGGCTTTCTCCGAGAAGGAGCAAACTGTCAGTGACTTACTTGACAAGGAGGTCACTACATTTGGTTTTCCCTTGCCACCCCTCAACATTAATAAACATTTACATAGAGCCTACTACATACCAAACTATTATAAGCATTTTGTAAACGTTAACTCATTTAACCTCCATAAAGGTGTAGGTAACAGGGCTGCGGTTTAAACACTATGCTACCTTCTAGCCAGAGGGTACAAGAGACCAGTAGTCCAATCATAGAAGGTCTGAGCTTGAGGATCATCTTTCCCAACGTCTACATTTTACAATTTAGGAAAGCAAGGCAGCTTGACCCAGGCTTTACAGCTCACATGCATCTGACAGTTACTAGCGACTAAAATCCCTGTCTTTTAACTCCAAGGCCTAGTGAATTTCCATTGCAACACACTCCCTTGCTCTAATGAGATCTGCTTTCGTCTTCCTTGCAGCTGAGCCAGTTCCAGCTGTTGGAACAAGAGATTACAAAGCCCGTGGAGAATGACATCTCGAAGTGGAAGCCCTCTCAGAGCCTACCCACCACAAACAGTGGCGTGAGTGCTCAGGATCGGCAGTTGCTGTGCTTCTACTATGACCAATGTGAGACCCATTTCATTTCCCTTCTCAACGCCATTGACGCACTCTTCAGTTGTGTCAGCTCAGCCCAGCCCCCGCGAATCTTCGTGGCACACAGCAAGTTTGTCATCCTCAGTGCACACAAACTGGTGTTCATTGGAGACACGCTGACACGGCAGGTGACTGCCCAGGACATTCGCAACAAAGTCATGAACTCCAGCAACCAGCTCTGCGAGCAGCTCAAGACCATAGTCATGGCAACCAAGATGGCCGCCCTCCATTACCCCAGCACCACGGCCCTGCAGGAAATGGTGCACCAAGTGACAGACCTTTCTAGAAATGCCCAGCTGTTCAAGCGCTCTTTGCTGGAGATGGCAACGTTCTGAGAAGAAAAAAAAGAGGAAGGGGACTGCGTTAACGGTTACTAAGGAAAACTGGAAATACTGTCTGGTTTTTGTAAATGTTATCTATTTTTGTAGATATTTTATATAAAAATGAAATATTTTAACATTTTATGGGTCAGTCAACTTTCAGAAATTCAGGGAGCTGGAGAGGGAAATCTTTTTTTTTCCCCCTGAGTGGTTCTTATGTATACATAGAAGTATCTGAGACATAAACTGTACAGAAAACTTGTCCACGTGCTTTTGTATGCCCATGTATTCATGTTTGTTTGTAGATGTTTGTCTGATGCATTTCATTAAAAAAAAAACCATGAATTACGAAGCACCTTAGTAAGCACCTTCTAATGCTGCATTTTTTTTGTTGTTGTTAAAAACATACCAGCTGGTTATAATATTGTTCTCCACGTCCTTGTGATGATTCTGAGCCTGGCACTCCCAAATCTGGGAAGCATAGTTTATTTGCAAGTGTTCACCTTCCAAATCATGAGGCATAGCATGACTTATTCTTGTTTGGAAAACTCTTTTCAAAACTGACCATCTTAAACACATGATGGCCAAGTGCCCAAAAGCCCTCTTGCGGAGCAAATTTCAGAATATATATGTGGATCCAAGCTCTGATAGTTCAGGTGCTGGAGGGAAGAGAGACCTGTGTGTTTAGAGGCCAGGACCACAGTTAGGATTGGGTTGTTTCAATACTGAGAGACAGCTACAATAAAAGGAGAGCAATTGCCTCCCTGGGGCTGTTCAATCTTCTGCATTTGTGAGTGGTTCAGTCATGAGGTTTTCCAAAAGATGTTTTTAGAGTTGTAAAAACCATATTTGCAGCAAAGATTTACAAAGGCGTATCAGACTATGATTGTTCACCAAAATAGGGGAATGGTTTGATCCGCCAGTTGCAAGTAGAGGCCTTTCTGACTCTTAATATTCACTTTGGTGCTACTACCCCCATTACCTGAGGGAAACTGGCCAGGTCCTTGATCATGGAACTATAGAGCTACCAGGACATATCCTGCTCTCTAAGGGAATTTATTGCTATCTTGCACCTTCTTTAAAACTCACATATGCAGACCTGACACTCAAGAGTGGCTAGCTACACAGAGTCCATCTAATTTTTGCAACTTCCTGTGGCCAGTGTGTATAACCCCTTCCACTATCTCACAGATAGTCACAGCGTCCATTCCATAGTCTGTCTCCTCACATCTGTTAGTATTGACACAGCACAGACACCACAAGCCATCAGGTTCTTCATGGGGCAGGTGAAATACTTCTACCCCATGGGTAAATGTATTCACATATTACCAAGAGAAGAAGCACATTATCTATGATCTTTTGGCCCAGTTCTTATTTAGCATTTTTATTCCAGCCTACTTGGAAACATGTTTTTATTTGCAATATATGCCTGACTGAATTAAGCTTGCTTGTTTTAAACAACCAAATCATTGGAACAGAAAAGGATTTAAAAAACAAGAATGCATGATCTCAGAGTGATTAAAAAAAAATCAGTGGAAATAAATGATCATAGAAGGTGCTTTTCAAAACAACTGCTATTATAATTCTCAAAGTCCTACTCTGCCAAAAGAAGATTAAAAGTCATACATTACATTACAAGGAAATGTTCATGTGGGAAGAGGGTTGCTGAAAATCAACAACGCTTGAAGTTAAAAAGTGTGTCTTTGTAGATTTCATTGTATAATGTGTATTTCTTAGGAGATGGCTGACTTGATTGATCTACGCTAAGTGGAGACATTTCACATTTTTAAAACCAAATGTTCAATCTGTATTACTCTTTGCCGTCTTGTATGTAGAGGCTATTTTTAAATCATTAAATTTTTAGATCTCTGTTTTCATAGCCACTGGGTTTTCTTTTTCATACTCCTCTGTCACAGAATTAAATATTGGCTTACTTTGGTACTCCTAATATAAAAAGTTAAATTATGATTATTTTAGCAATGCTATAGGTCTGGATTTTTTTAGGAAAATTGAGGGTTTGGTTTTCTCTGTATATGTGTCACTTCCAAGTGTATTTGCATTCAAAGAAAATTCTAGAATCTGTGAACATTATCAAATTCAAATATCTGGAACAAGACTTGTGTTCACCAAAAAACCCATACACTCAGTAACATATAGGATGATTTGTTTTCATAATATGGATGTTACCAGTCATGTGGTTTTTAGAATCAAAGAAAATTTTTCTATTTGTTTTGGAATAGTCATAAAGAAATAATTTAAAGCAAACTATATTTAATGAAAATAAGAGATTTGTAATCATGTAATTATCATTTTTAATGGTTGGCCCACTCTTTTATTCAGGTATCCCACTGAGATTTACAGACAAATTATTTAAATGTATCATGTACCATTTTGCCCACACATATAAGCATTAATTTATTTTTGACAAAATGTCAAGGCACTTCAAGGAGGGAATGAAAACTCTTCCGAAAAAAAAAGTGGTGCGGGAACAACTAGATCTATGAAATAAAATGAATGTGTACCTTACGTTCTACCCAAAGATTAACCCAAATGGATCATAGACCTAAATGTAAAACTTAAAACTCCTAGAAGAAAACACAGGAGAAAATCTTTGTTATCTTAGGTAGACAAAATTTCCATATTTGAAACACTTTAAAAACTTAACTCAGAAAAAAAATGATTTATTGGACTTTGTCAACATTAAAAACTCTTATTCTTCTGAGGATACCATTAAAAAACCAAAAGTCAAGCCAGAAAATGGGAGAAAATACATCACATCTATCAGCCAAGGACTTACATCAGACTTAGGAGACAAAAAACTAAATTTTTTTAACTCGGCAAAAATTTGGAGAAGAAACTTCATAAAAGAAGACTTATGTAGGTAAATGGAAAAAGTAAATAAACACCACACCAAATAGAATCACTAAAATTAAAAAGACAAATGATACCCTGTGTTGGTGCAAGAAAGGGGAGCAAACATTGCTCTTGTATATCACTGGTAAGAATGTTAAACAGTACAAACACTATGGAAAACAGATTGGCGATTTCCTAAAAAGTTAAACCTATGTCTACCCTATGACCTAGCAATTTCTCTTCTAGGTATTTACCCAGAAGAAATAAAAGCATATGTCCATACAAAGACTTACATAAAAATATTTATAGCAGCTCTATTTGTAATAGCAAAAGCTAGAAAGAACCCAGATGTTTGTTCATCTATATGAATGAATAAAATCACTGCGGTATATCCACACAATGGAATACTACACAGAAATCAAAAGGAAAAATATTGCAACAAATAGCCAACATGAATGAACTTCAAAATCATTATGACGCAAAAAAGAAGCAAGACAAAAAGAATACATATGCTATGTTTCCATTTATACAAAATTTTAGAAAATTCAAACTAACCTATAGGGACAGAAAGCACATAAGTGGTTGCCTAGAGAGAAATGGTGGAAGGAATGGATTCCAAAGAAGTCCATGGAAACTTGGGAATGAAAGCAGTGTCCATTGTCTTGATTGTGGTGATGGTTTCACAGATGTATGCATGCCAAACCTCTTCAGATTGTACACTTTAAATATGTACAGTTTATTCTTTGTTAATTTTTTCAAAGTAAATGGTCTAGGCACTCCCATTAAAAGTTAGAGATTCTCAGCCTGGATTTTAAAATGCAAGACCAACTATATGCTATTTAAAAGATGCTCGCTTGAAATAAAAATACACAGATAAATTAAAAACAAGGGGATAGAAAGAGATGTACCATGTGCATTCTATTTTTTTCTTAAAAAGCCGGAGCAGCTATATTATTAACAGACAGAGTAGAATTCAGAACAAGGGCAAAGAGAGGCATTTCATGATAAAGGGATTAATTCATAAAAAAGACAAAACATTCCTAAATGTGTATGTACCAATCACGAAGTCTCAAAATACATGAAGCAGAAACTGATATAACTGAAAGGACAAATAGAAAATCTATAATGATAGGTAGAGATTTCAATACTTGTCTCTCAGTAATTAATAGAACAAGCAAACAAAACAAAATAAAACCAGTAATAATTGGTAAGAATGGAACTCTCTTCCGTTGCTGATAGGAGTGTAAAATGGTACAATCGTTTTAGAAAATGGTTTGGTAACCTCTAATAAAGTTAAACATATGCTTTCAACATAACCCAGCAATCCCAATCATAGATATTTACCCCCCAAAAAATGAAAACATATATCCATATGAAAAGCTAATTTCTTTATTCATAATTGTGCCAAATAGAAACAACCCAAATGTCATCAACAGGTGAGTAGATAAGTAAATTGTGGTCTATATATACAATGGAATACTATTGAGCAATGAAAAGGAGTGAACAAATTAGACATGTAACAACATGAGCAGATCAACCTCAGAAACATGCTGAATGAAAGCCAGGCAAATAAAGAGGAATTCTGTATGAAGCTCCAGAAGGCAGGAATCTAATCTGTAGTGACAAAAATTAGACCTGTGATTTCCTAAGGCCAGGGGTAGGGGTTGGCGATTATTTGGGAAAGAGCACGAAGGAGCCTTTTGGTAGGATGGATATGTTTTATATCATCACTGTCCAACACTGCAGAACTTTCTGCAATGGTAAAAATGTCTTCCATTTGCACTGTCTAATATGCTGAATAACAGTCACATATGGCTACTGAGGATTTGAAACATACCTAGTACAACTGAGGACGTTTTTCATTTTAATTTTAGCTCATTAGACTTGAAATAGCCACATGTGTTTAGTGGCTATTCTACTGGACAGCACGGTATCTATATCTTGATTGTTGCAGTAATTGTGTGCATGGATAAATTTGTCAAAACTTATTATAAAATACACTAAAAATAGGTGCATTTTATTGTATATAAGCCTTACCTGAATAAAGTTGATTTTAAAAAGAGGCAAAGCATTTCCCAACTAACTCTAATGCTCCAATTTTTCAAGTCAATATTATCAGCAGTTCACAGAAACATTGGCGGTTCCATAGAAAGAGAACAAACCGGAAAGCCAAGCTTCTAAATCCATAGCAGGCTACTGCTTTAGAGTCAATGATACTGAGCTCGTTCATGTCCCACCAGGAAGACAAATGTGGCTTCCTAACCCTGAGTTGGTAAAAGCCTGTCTGGGTTTTAGATGCTTCCCCATAAACCACATCTACATTCTTTATATTTTTGAGGGATTATGACAAAAGAAATATTGTCATTCACCAAAGAACATAAAAAACAACAAGGATTCACTTATTCATTGAACATTTCCTGCCTGGCCGGCCAGAGCAGGCAAATCTGCCCTGCGTATCAATAGAACCCCAGCTGTCTCCGCCAGAGGAGCTGGCCCCACCTCACAGCCAGTGTCTCTGTGTGCTCAGCAACGTGCTGTGGACCAAAGGGACAGGAGAAGAAGGGAGACGTGGATTCTGCCTCCCTTTGTTTGAAATAAAAAGTAAACATGTCCTTTAAACAATTGAAGGCAGATTATAGACAAATGTTTAAGTAATTTACAGGCAAAGACTTTAAAGTAGAGAGAATGAGAAAAATCAAAGTGATCTAGCTGGTGAGAAAGAGCTTTTTGCCAAGGGTGGGGTTGAAGAGGTTGATCATAAAGAAAGGTGTCTTTGTCTGTACTGTGCTGCTATCACAGAATACCAAACACTGGGTAATGTATAAAGAACAGAAATGTATTTCTCACAGTTCTGGAACCTGAGAAGTTCAAGGTTGAGGGCTCACATCCAGTGAGGGCCTTCTTGCTGCATCATCCCATGATGGAAGGTAGAAAGGCAAGAGAGCATGAGAGAGCAAGGGATTGAACCGGCAGCCTCAAGCCCAAAATTTTATAATCCCCATTAACCATGCATGAGGGTGGAGCTCTCCATACTTCCCATTAGGCCCCACCTCCAAATGCTGTTGCAAGGGGGATTACGTTTCCAACACACGCTTTTTGGGAGATACATTCAGACTATACCAGAAAGGCTAACTGGACGGCACAGGAAAGCCTGGCAAAGGCTGGTGGCCAGGACGGCGTGCTGCAGAGATGCAGTGGAGAGTTTAGGTGATGAGGGGCTCTCTAGAATCACACTGCAGCGACTTTGGCTTTGCATTTTGTACCTTCAGAGAATTCATTCAGAATAGACATACCAAATATTCGTTGGCCTAATGAAACTGGGCATTAGATGGCATCATATCCTTTCAAAGAAGAGAAAGGAGAGAAAGCAGGATGGGGAGCCTGGATGAGACAAAGATGATACAGATAGTGAAGACTATGAAAGGATAAAAGGGAGGGGATGGAGAGCAGAGGAGAGGAAAGAGCAGAGGAGAGAGACAGAGAGAAGAAGCAAGAAAGACCCTGACACAGGGTGATTAGAAAAGAGTCAGTGAAACAAGTAACAGACTGCAAGAGATACACAGTATATGCTAAAGCAAAATGCTATGTTCTTAGGTCATCTAGGTTCTCAAGATATAGTCAGAAACAAACAGTCAGTACATATTACTTGAAAACAGGGCTGCATTGTCATTTTGAAAAATACAACATCGTATATCAGTCTCTTGGAGAGACTTAATACTCGTGAGCATGTAAAAGGCTCTAGGCCGGGTTTGGTGGCTCACGCCTGTAATCCCAGCACTTTGGGAGGCTGAGGTGGGTGGATCACCTGAGGTCAGGAGTTCAAGACCAGCCTGGCCAACATGGCAAAACCTCATATCTACTAAAAATACAAAAATTAGCCAGGCTTGGTGGCGGGCGCCTGTAATTCCGGCTACTCGGAAGACTGAGACAGGAGAATCACTTGAACCCGGGAGGCGGAAGTTGCAGTGAGCTGAGATCACGCCACTGCATTCCAGCCTGGGCAACAGAGTGAGACTCTGTCTCAAAAAAAAAAAAAAGAAAAAGAAAAAAAAAGGGCTCCAAGAAGTCTTACAATATAAAAACTTGCCTTGTCTACTACTTCACAAAATTATTTTGACCCTAAAAGCTGTTTTCTCTCTTAACATTTATAAAAACCTGGTCTAGGATATTCAGATAGTTTTCGTTTTCCTCCCCCAACAAAAGGGTGAGGCCCGCCAATGTGACTCAGCTCACAGAATCATTATTGTTCTCGACTACATTCATCAAGGTCAAGTCCTCTGTCTTTAACAGTCTTTTAGAACCAATAGGCTACGGGGCAGCACCTGTTCTGATCTTTAGCACCCATACTCACCCTGAATCTGTACAAAGCTTCTAAATAAGTATGTGAAGATACTTTATTATTTCCCCCATTCATTTCTGATTATCTGAATATTTGTCTTAGAATAAACATGGAGGAAACAAACCAATAATTAATTTGGATGAGCTTTCCCAAATCATCAACTCCTTGGGACCAGGATTTTTTTGTAGAAATGCTTTGGAAAGCCCAATTTTATATGAAGAATTTTAAAATAAAAATATCTCTCAGAAGAGAACCAAAAAAGTGAAAGAAAAATAAAATACATACAAATGGGAAGATAAATAGAGTCAGAGACACATTGTCTGGCCCATCTAGAAATTTAATCTAAGAAGAGGTGCTTGATGCATGGAAAGGCTTTTGAAGGTGGCAAGAATGATAAGGACAAATACATACTTTGAAAAAATATGATTTAAGTGGTTAAACCCTGGCTATGTTAAGGCATAAGATCAATAGATGTGCTAGTGTATAAATGACATCAATCGCCACCATTTATTGGTGTCTAGTTTGAGTTAGCAGACACTACATCAAGCACATTATCTTTGCCCTCATAGCAAACCTCTTATAGATAGTTCTTATTTTCACTTTACAGAGGAGGAGGCTGAAGCTAGAAGGGAATTAAACAACTTGGCCCAAGTTTCAAGGCTGGAAAATGGAAGTAGCCCTTTCCCTATACCACACAAGCACTCTGGGAGCTGCAGGTAGAAAAGTGTACAAAGGATATTCTCTGGGTAATTGCATTACAGTCATGACCTGAGCAGGGTTTAGCTGGTAGCTTTACCCCAAATCAGGTAAGAGGCATGGACAAAAGATATTCGCGTGCAATTTTAAATATTATGACATTTGTATGTGATTTTGAATATGGTCCTCTTTGCAATTAATTTTCCTAATAGTAAAATACTCACATTATTTATTAATTCATATAACTAGTCTCTTTCTCCCCACAAAGACTAAGGTGCATACAATATTTTCGTTTTAGAAGAAGACAACTGAATAAAAAGAAAATAAAGGTAAAAAAAATAAGACGTAGCTGTTAACATAGTTCATACACAAAATGCATGTTGCAAAGGCCTGTGAACTTTGGCCTTGAGTTTTCTGGACAGCCCATGAGATAAAGAAAATGAGATCCGGCCGGGTGCGGTGGCTCACGCCTGTAATCCCAACACTTTGGGAGGCCAAGGTGGGCAGATCACCTGAGGTCAGGAGTTCACGACCAGACTGGCCAACATGGTGAAACCCCATCTCTACTAAAAAATACAAAAATTAGCTGGGCGTGGTGGTGGGAGCCTGTAATCCCAGCTACTCTCGGGAGGCTGAGGCAGGAGAATTGCTTGAACCTGGGAGGCGGAGGTTGTAGTAAGCCAAGATCACGCCACTGCACTCCAGCCTGGGCGACTAAGCAAGGCTCCATCTCAAAAAAGAAAAAGAAAAAGAAAGAAAGAAGGAAGGAAGGAAGGAAAATGAAATCCGTTATATGATTTATAAGTATCCATAAAATGAAATCAAGCCCACTGTTTCCCATACTGGGACCTCAGAGAGATTTCTCACCAGGGTCTTCATAACGGGTTATATAACACAGTAAATCATACAGCATCATGACATATCATCTTTACAGTAAATATAGTGAGACCACAGCTTGTTTCTAGTACAGCATCACTTATGTGCTATTATTCTTTCTCTAAAGTCTAACACTTTAAAGTATATGATGTGGCTTTTAAGGCCCATCATGATCTAACCCCAAATGGCTCTTTCACTCTCATTTCCTACTATATCCTTTCATGAATTCTCCTGAACAGCCTCTCTGGGCCACTCAGTCATTCCTGAGTATCTTTGATTTTTCTGTTCTTTCATCCTATTTACTCATTGTTATTCACCTTCATCTCTGACATTCAAAATACAAGTCAGGAAAGGCAGAGAGTAAGTTATACACACCTGGTGGGTGGTATATTTTGGACAGGCTTTATTAGCCTCTCCTCCAAGTTTGCACTACTATCAATACAACTTCAATCATTCATTTGTTCTGCAAATATTTATTGAACACCTATTATGTACCTGGCACTGAGGGTACAAGGGAAGCAATAAAAATTTAATACATCCCTTGCTTTATGAAACTTCCAATCTGGTGAGTGAAAAAAAAATGTTGGTTTTGTCAAAAAAGAAAAGAAAAGCGCAACTCTATGAAACACTATGAAGTCAAGATACATAGCTCCATAAGAGGGAATATTGGCGCATCCTAAAGTAGTGTGGGGAGCAGGGATGGCTTTCTTCTGGAAAAGATGTTTGATGTGAGATCTGATGAGTGAATGGACTTTATCTAAGCAAAGCTGGGAAAGGACATTCCAAGCAGAAGTAGGAGTAAGGACAAAGGCCCTGAGAACCCCAGGATCCTGCTGTGTTCTAGGACCAGGAAGAGTCCAGTGTGCCTGGCGCACAGCAGAGAAGTGGGAGAATGGTGAGAAATGAGGCTGAAGAAGTGGCAGGTACCTGGCCATGCAAGGCCTTCAAGGCCACATTAAATGATTGAAAGATTATTTATTTATTTATTTATTTATTTATTTATTTTGAGACAAAAGCTCTGTCACCCAGGCTGGAGTGCAGTGGTGTGATCTTGGCTCACTGCAACCTCCACCTCCCAGGCTCAAGTGATTCTCCTGCCTCAGCCTCCCGAGTAGCTGCGACCACAGGCCTACACCACCACGCCCGGCTAATTTTTCTGTTTTTAGTAGAGATGGGGTTTCACCATGTTGGCCAGGCTGGTCTTGAACTCCTGACCTTGTGATCCGCCATCTCAGCCTCCCAAAGTGCTGGGATTACAGGCGTGAGCCAGCACGCCTGGCCCTATTTTTATTCTTTAAGAGACAAGTCTTGCTCTATTGCCCAGGCTGAAGTGCAATGGCAAGACCCTAGTTCACAGCAGCCTGAACTCCTGGGCTCAAGCAATCCTCCCATCTCAGCCTCCCAAGTAGCTAGGATTACAGGTGTATGACACTATGCCCAGCTAATTTTTTTTTTTTTTTTTTTTTTTTTTGGAGAGACAGATATCTGTGTTGCCCAGGCTTGTCTCAAACTCCTAGCTTTGAGAGATCCTCCACCCTCAGCCTCCCAAAATGTTGGGCTTATAAGTGTGAGCCACTGCACCTGGCCTAATTAAAGAATTTTAAACAGCTATATGACACCATCATATTTTTGCTCTGAAAATAGCTCCCTGGCTGCAGTGTGGAGAGTGGTGAAGAGGGGCCATGTGGATCCTGGCAGTTCAGTTAGGAGGGCATTGAATCAGTTCTAGGAGAAGCAGTGAAGATACGTTGGATTAGAATGGAGGAGTGGAGATGGGGAGATGCAGATAGGTTCCAGGGACGTGGGAGGGCAAGTCCGTAGGAAAAGTGATGAACAGCACCTGGTGCATGATGATGAGGAGCCCGGGGAAGGGCTTCTTGGCTGGGCATCTGGATGGATGTGGATCCATTCATGAGCTAGGATGTGCCAACGCTATTTCCATCTCCATGGAACCAGCCTGGGGTGCAATCCACACTTACTGCACTCCCCCTCCCTGGCACTGAGCAAAGCGCATGAGGGAGGAGCAACATTGGGCAAGAACCTCCAGACTCTTATCTGGAGGAGGCTAAGTTAAGCCCACTTTACTTCCTCCTAGGGCGTGGATGTGTAGGCACATGCTTATTTTATGGTTGGGAAAAAAGAAGGAAAAGAAAAGAGAAAAACAGCCTTGAAATAGTTCTAGGCCAGGCACGGTGGCTCACGCCTATAATCCCAGCACTTTGGGAGGCCAAGGCGGGGGGATCATGAGGTCAGGAGTTCAAGACCAGCCTGGCTAACATAGTGAAATCTGTCTCTACTAAAAATACAAAAATTAGCCAGGCATGGTGGCGGGAGCTTGTAGTCCCAGCTACTCAGGAGGCTGAGGCAGGAGGATCGCTTGAACCTGGGAGACGAAGGTTGCAGTGAGCCAAGATCGCACCACTGCACTCCAGCCTGGGCAACAGAGTGAGACTCAGAAAAAAAAAAAAAAAAAAAAAGAACGAACGAACGAAGGAAAGAAGAAAAGAAAGAAAAAAAGAGAGAAAGAAAAGAAAGAAAGAAAGAAAGAAAAAGGAAAAGAAAGAAGGAAGGAAAGAAACAAAGAAAGAAAGAAAAGGTTTTAATGAGTAGAGGCCAGCCTGCAGGGGGAGAAACCTCTACAAGGGCAACTGAAAAGCTTCAGCACACTGACTGACCTTCATCTCAGACTCAACTATTACCAATCTCTAAAGCAAATTCCTCTGCAGCCTGGGAGGGGGCATTGAGGGGCAGGAACCACCACCATACCTCACAGCATGATTTAAGTCATCTCCCAACAACTATAATTAAGAAAACTGAGTTAACAAAAAGGGCACCTTACTTTGTCTCCTAACTGTCAATTTTCCAGAGAGACAAGAGTCAGCAGGGAATGATGTTAAATGAAAACATACCCCTAATTTTCTCTGGCCTGCCTGGCAGTCAGGAGACCACCAGACACCAGACATTGTCTATCCCCCACACAGCCCCTCACCCAGTCATCATCCAAGCGCAGTTTATGAGCCTTCTTTATGACCCAGGCAGCCTAACGGGTTTTTTTTTCAGAACCATCTGGGCCCTTTGTGACTTAAATTCCTATTAAAGAAGTTGAAGTCTCCAAGAACAATGGTTGTGAATGAGACATTTTAAACAGTGGTCAGAGAAGTAACTTATTTCAGCCTTGCCCAATGTTAAAATATCAAGACAAAGGGCTGGTGTGGGTGTATTTTTAGAATGATGTAAAGATGTAAATGGACAACTTAGTGAAGGCTGTCCTTGCCCTTGGGCAATTATTTCTACCTCTCTGTCTAGACATCCAGTCTACACTGGAAAGGACCTACGATTTGACAAAAGAAGGTTTTGGATAAATAATGGGTCCCCCAATCCTGTTTGCAAAAGAAAAATCAACAAGCAAGAAAACAAAAGATCTGCAAAGAGCACTGAGAAGGGGACATGTAGGGACCTGTATGCAGAGGAGAGCGCTCTAGAGAAAAGTTACTAGGTCCTCTGCCCCTTGCAAAGGGGAGTGAACTTGTGGGTGTTTACACGTACCAGGTGGCTTCCCGTTGAAAGGGGGCCCCCAGAAATCCTTTAGAGCGCTGACAGTGCAAATAGCTAGCACCTATTCAGCTCAGGCAACAAGGTCTTTGGGCACCACCTAGGATGTTTTGAAGCCCCTCACGCAGCGACCAGCATTTTGCAGATCTAAGGCTGTGTTCGCCTCGCACGGCGCCCCCTTGTGGTCTGATGGGAAATGAAAGGTGGAGGACAATTGGTTTTTACAACCGATTTCATCTCTAACGTGCCTGGGAAATAGGAATGCTAGTGCAGACCTGATTCGCTGTTGTGAAAATAAGCATTCAAAATAATTCTTAAGCGCTCCACAACCACGTAGCAGTACGATTACTTCCTTGCTGCACATCTCCCTAGCCTCTTGTATATTTCAGACACAGGGCATCTTGGACCATGAGTTCATCTTTCCCATCTCACTACCTAACTAACACAAAGAGTTCAATTCATGTTTGTTGACTGGCTAACTGAACCCAAAGGAATGAATCCACCTCCAAGCTCCTCCACCCCCATCCCACATTGGAGGATCCTTTTTTTTTTTTTTTAAACGGAGTCTGCCTCAGACACTCAAGACTGGACTGCAGTGGAGCTGTGTCCGGAATTGGTGGGTTCTTGGTCTCACTGACTTCAAAAATGAAGCCGCGGATCCTCGCGGTGAGTGTTACAGTTCTTAAAGGCAGCGTGTCTGGAATTTGTTCCTTCTGATGTTCGGATGTGTTCAGAGCTTCTTCCCTCTGGTGGGGTTTGTGGTCTCACTGGCGCATGAGTGAAGCTGTGGACCTTCGCAGTGAGTGTTACAGCTCTTAAGGCTGCCCGTCTGGAGTTGCTCGTTCCTCCCAGTAGGTTCGTGGTCTTGCTGGTTTCAGGAGTGAAGCTGCAGACCTTCACAGTGAGTGTTATAGCTCATAAAGGCAGTGTGGACCCAAAGACTGAGCAGTAGCAAACTTCACTGCAAAAAGCAAAAGAACAAAGCTTCCACAGCGTGGAAAGACACCCGTACAGAAAAGTACCCGAGCGGGTTACCACTGCTGGTGCAGGCAGCCTGCTTTTATTCTCTTATCTGGCCACACCCACATCCTGCTGATTGGTCCATTTTACAGAGAGCCGAGTGGTCTGTTTTGACAGGGCGCTGATTGGTGCGTTTACAATCCCTGAGCTAGACACAAAGGTTCTCCACCTCCCCACTAGATTAGCTAGATACAGAGTGTGGACACAAAGGTTCTCCAAGTCCCCACAAGAGTAGCTAGATACAGAGTGCCGATTGGTGTATTTACAATCCCTTAGCTAGACATAAAGGTTCTCCAAGTCCCGCCCAGACTCAGGAGCCCAGCTGGCGTCACCCAGTGGATCCCGCACGGGGCCGCAGGTGGAGCTACCTGCCAGTCCCGTGCGGTGTGCGCGCACTCCTCAGCCCTTGGGTGGTCGATGGGACTGGGCGCCGTGGAGCAGGGGCGCCGCTCGTCGGGGAGGCTCGGCCGCACAGGAGCTCACGGGCGTGGGGGAGAGGCTCAGGCATGGCAGGCTGCAGGTCCCGAGCCCTGCCCCGCAGGGAGGCAGCTAAGGCCCGGCGAGAAATCGAGAACAGCGCCGGTGGGCCAGCACTGCTGGGGGACCCAGCACACCCTCCGCAGCCGCTGGCCCGGGTGCTGAGCCCCTCATTGCCCGGGGCTGGCAGGCCGCTCCGAGTGCGGGGCCCACCGAGCCCACACCCACCCGGAACTCACGCTGGCCCGCAAGCACCGCGCGCAGCCCCGGTTCCCGCCCGCCCCTCTCCCTCCACACCTCCCTGCAAGCTAAGGGAGCCGGCTCCCGCCTCGGCTAGCCCAGGAAGGGGCTCCCACAGTGCAGCGGTGGGCTGAAGGGCTCCTCGAGTGCCGCCGAAGTGGGCGCCAAGGCCGAGGAGGTGCTGAGAGTGAGCGAGGGCTGTGAGGGCTGCCAGCAGGCTGTCACCTCTCAGCGCCATCTCGGCTCACCGCAACTTGTGCCTCCTCACTGCTTTAGCCTCCCGAGTAGCTTGGATTACAGGCTCCTGCCACCACGTCCCCCTGATTTTTGTATTTTTAGTAGAGACGGGGTTTCACCATGTTGGCCAGGCTGGTCTTGAACTCCTGACCTCAAGTGATCCGCCTGCCTCGGCCTCCCAAAGTGCTGGCATTACAGGCGTGAGCCACCACGCCTGGCTTGGAGGAGCCCTTTAAAGGAAAAAGAACATTGCAGGATCCTTAACAATAACTAAAAATAAAATTCCTTCAAAAGGCAGGATGTAGTGCCCATGAGTTACTGTTGTATTGTTTCCCCTTTATATAACCTTTTTCCACAATTACTTTAGTAACTTTGGTTGTTCTCGTTGAATGTCTATGTGATTTCTCTGCTGTAAGCTCCTGAGGTTGGATTTGCGCTGCACAGCAGATCCCTACAAGTCCCCTTCTCAGTGTTCCTTGAAGATCTTTTGTTTTATTGCTTGTTTCATAGTTCCCCGGGTGATCTCAGCTGCAATATACTCCTTTGCAAAGTTGCTGTAACCAGGCCAAAACCTGTCCCTAGATTTAGAATCCATGGTTTGGGATGACTGTGACGTTAATCACCCCATGCTCTCTGTCAACATGACCCAACACTTTCAGTACATCCCATCCTCATCCTCAGATCCTCATCCTCAGATCTTCAGCACTTACAGCATCTATAGGCCTTTCAACCATTGCACCAGCAAGCAAAACAACAATTATAGAGAAAATGGACAGAAGGCGAAACAAAAGAAAAGTTTTATGATCAATGAGCAAATTATAGGCAAACGTATTCATATTTAAGCATCAGGGGATATTTCATTTGTCCTGAGTAATTGATATGCTTTTTCTCATGGAAACAAGATTTTTGCAATTAACTGATCATGTTTTCCTTTACTGTAAAGGTCAGAGACAAATTTGATGCCCAATATCAGTAACTAGTAACTTATGGGTCCATCTGGGTTTTACATTTTCTCTCCATACCATCTTTTCTACCTAAATTATTCCTCAAAATTATTCCTCATCCTCTCTTTTTTAGCTACTATCTTTTTTTTTTTTTTTTTTCCTGAGATGGAGTCTCACTCTGTCGCCCAGACTGGAGTACAGTGGCACGATCTTGGCTCACTGCAACCTCTGCCTCCAGGGTTCAAGCGATTCTCTTGCCTCAGCTTCCCAAGTAGCTGGGACTACAGGTGCACACCACCACACCCAGCTAATTTTTAAAAAAATATTTTTGGTAGAGACAGGGTTTCACTATGTTGGCCAGGCTGGTCTCAAACTTCTGACCTCAAGTGATCCGCCCACCTCAGCCTCCCAAAGTGCTGGGATTACAGGCATGAGTCACTGCGCCCAGCCTTTAGCTACTATCTTTGATTACATGTGATTAGCCACATGTGAGAGCTCTGATGCTCTCTGAATGTATAAAGAAGCATGGGCTCTGCTCCTCCGTGTGCTGAGCCAATATGTTCCACAGTAGAAAGGGAGGGGCTCCAGAACTGCGGCTCATAGCAAGTTTTCTTCCATATACATCCACCACCAGGGTGCCAGGTGGAACAACTTCATCTGTTGGCAATTTCACACCCTAAATCAATCTTTCCTTGCAACTTCCCCCTGCCTCTGGTGTGAAACTGGCCCAGACTTCCATCTCTGCCATTATCAATCTCCCCTCCAGAAACCAATGCCCTTCCCAGAAATCCGGCATCAGACATGTTTTTATATGTTTGACCCTCAAAGACAGAAGTCAGGGTTAGGATTCCATTTCTTTTTCATTCAGGAGGCACCTCTGCCACTTTGTAATATCATCAATGCAAGCTTGACTTATTGGTGCCTGAAAACATCCAAGCCCGAAATACTCTACCTGGAGCCTGGTCCAGGCCCTACCCAAAGCCCTGCAACATCCATCTGTAAGCTTCATCACTGAAAGGCGCACAGACTTTCCAGCTGCAGGTGGAGGAAGTGCACCCTCCACTCTCCTCACGTTCCCCTAGAAGGGAAGGGCTTCTCTCCATCCTCACACACACACACTGCTCCTTATGACCGTGCCTCCACCTGGCAAGAAACATATTTCAGGCTCCCCACAGGCTGCTTATTAGATGCAAAGGAAAACTAGTAATTTACACCATGGGGAAATCAGTCAACGCCCTGGAGGGGAGGAATGATCAAAATCAACACCGCCAATGAGGTGAGAAGGACATCAGTGTCTCCAGAAATGAGACCTTTTTTGAGACGGATGCAGGATCACTTACGCAGTATTTCATTTTCTCGCCTCATCGTGAGGAAACATCAGACAAACACAATGAAGAACATTTGTTCTGTCTTTAAAAGGCACAGGGAAACTTATTCTGCTGCCTGTCATTGTTATGAAAGATAAAGGAAGGCTGTGGGAATGTTTCTGATTAAAGGAGGCCAGACAGACATGACAACTAGATCCAAATGTCGGGCCCTAGACTGGATCCCATCCCAGAGGAAATAAGAAAGGGCATTATTGGGTCAACTGTCATCATGGAAATACAGACTACCATTGAATAAATTAAATCAATGTTAAATTTACTCAAGTGGATAAATACTCGGTGGTTCTGTAAGAGAATATTCCTATTCTTAGCAAAGATGCACTCAAGTATTCTAGGGTAAAGGTGACTATATAGGCATGCGTGTTTTAGAAAAGCAATTTTATCTGTGTTAACAGTAAGTGGATCTCAGTAAAGGGTGTGTGCTATTGTTAGTCTCAAAGCTTTTCTGAAAATTTGGAATTATTTCCAAATGAAAAGTCAAAACAACAACAACAGCAGTTCAATCTCATCTAGAAGAGTTTGGCCTCAGTAATAGAACCTGGGTTTAAATCTCATCTCTGGCTCTTCAATGAGCTACTTCACTCTCTGCAGATCTTGATCTCCTCACCAATAAAATGGGCATAATCATAGTCGCTGTATCACAGACTTGTTAGAAGACTGAAAATTACAAATTAAACTTTACAAAGCATTGAGAACAGGGTCTGGCACATAGTCAGCTTCATATAAATGTTTAACAAATATATTGCCACCATTCTGAAATTGAAAACAAAAGAAGCACACAAAAATTTTCCAAATCTAAGAATTTCCTCTTGGGATCTGCTGACTGACTAAAATAATGTTAAGTCAACGTTTTCATAGATCGAGCATGAAGTGTGTGTTAATTGTTGGGTGACCAAGCAGAATCAAGTACAGTTGATCAAGCAGGGTTGGAAACGTGGGCGAGCTTAAGCTACTCACGCATTTCACTTTTGCAAAAGCCGTGAGATATATTAAGTAGATATTGAGTTAAAATAAGCACAGATAAAATAACTACTCGGTAATCTTCCAAACACATCTTTGGTATAATACTGAGCTTTCAGGAAATCAAGGGGGGAAATATGATAATATCCTATATGGCCTAGCCTTGCTATAGGATGCAAAGTAATTAAACCTCACAGGAGAATGACTTATTACATACCAAACACGTGGAAAAGGAAAGGCAAAAACTGCCTATCTTTGGCTTCTACAGTAATTTTTTCCTGGAGGAGAGCAGAGTTGGGGCAACTAAGAGTTTCTTTTGAAAGCTCCCAAAGTCTCTGGCCATTTGGCCGGGAAAGCCTTCCTGTCGGCAGGGCCTGAGTGAGCACTGTCTTCAAACCTCCCAGGGTCAGGTAGCTGCAGGCATCTTTGGGAAGCCACATGGTTAAACCTCCAGATTCCAGGAAGATTACTACCTAAAGCATCCAGGTGGATGGCAGGTCAAGGTGACTGCATCGAAGAAGTGTGATGAACGTTCACAGAGGTTTCTGCAAAGATTTACAACTCATCCATCCCTCTAGCTATGCTAAGCTTTATCCTGATCAAGCCAATCCACCCATGAGTTTGCACCTGGACCACACTGTCTTGGCCTCTTAAATCTCATAGAATTCCTCTTACTCTCTGACATGATATGACAGCCCTGCTCCTGTTATAAGAAATAGTTTCACTGTTCTGTTGATAAAGTGATGAACTTTTTTATATTATTACTTTAAACAAGAAATGGATTTAAACAGCAAGACACTTGACTTGAAGGAAAGCTATCTAGGATCATTTATTTTAGAGAAATTTATCCCACCTTAAAAACTGATTGCCGTACATGTAACAGCTGTGTACAAAAAGTCATGAGTCTCCTTGATTTCACAATGATAATTGAAACATATTGGAATTCTCTAATCAAATAAGTATGCAGAGGAGTCTGTTGTTGTCATTGCTATTGTTTGTCAAACAATGAAAGTAAAAAACTAAATGGGAAACAAAAATAAAAGTGGAACAAGCACACCACTAATGCATTCTTTTTTTTTTTTTCCAAGACAGAGTCTTGCTCTGTCACCCAGGCTGGAGTGCAGTGGTGCGATCTCGGCTCACTGAAACCTCTGCCTCCCGGGTTCGAGTGATTCTGCTGCCTCAGCCTCCTGAGAAGATGGGATTACAAGAGCACACCATCATGCCTGGCTAATTTTTGGATTTTTAGTAGAGACGGGGTTTCACCATGTTGGCCGGGCTGGTCTCAAACTCCTGATCTCAGGTGATCTGCCCATCTCGGCCTCCCAAAGTGCTAGGATTACAGGCATGAGCCACCATGCCCGGCCTAAGGGGTTCTTTCATAAGAAGGTTTTTCTCTACCTCATTTTCTTTTATTGTCTATATCACTAGCCATTTAGTTAAAAAAATAATAATAGTGTTATACAATAGATCTGATCACATATGTCAGTTACTTGATGTACAGTGAAGGGAGAGAACAAATGATGGGATAGAGAGAATTATGTGTACAAGTCAGGATGGGCTGGGCTCCAACTGTAATTTGCTAACTGAGAGTGTTTTTGTGTCTGTGGGTTCTGGTGTAAGGTAGTGAATCATGTGCATTTTCTTTTTTTTTTTGAAACGGAGTCTCACTCTATCGCCCAGGCTGGAGTGCAGTGGTGCAGTCTCGGCTCATCACAACCTCCACCTACCAGGCTCAAGCGATTCTCCTGTCTCAGCCTCCCAAGTAGCTGGGATGACAGGTGCGCTCCACTACACCTGGCTAATTTTTGTATTTTTAGTAGAGACGCGGTTTCACCATGTTGGCCAGGCTGGTCTCGAACTCCTGACCTCAAATGATCCACCTGCCTCGGCCTCCCAAAGTGCTGGGATTACAGACGTGAGCTACCGCTCCCGGCCTATCATGTGCATTTTCATCCTTCATTTCCAACTGTGCAGGTGCATCTGTTTCATTGATTATCCGCCCACCAAATTAGAATATGATCAGCCTCGGTGACAAATCCTGGCCTTCACACTAGGTTTATATTTAGTCACTAGTGCTCTGTGTCTCCTCTTCAACAGAATGATCCCATCCTACCTCCTTCTAATGAATTTGATGTCATTTCCTGTTTTGACCCTCCTTGGGTTTTGCATCAGTCGTGGTGACGGCTGAGGACTCCTTGGTTGCCACGCCACAAAAGATATGTCAGGTCTGCACCCCACGAGCATGGGAGAAGCCGAGGAAGGTGCAGCAGGAAGAAGGGAGGAGGGAGTGATGCTTTTAAGTATTCAGCTACACACCAGTGTCTCTTTCTAAGGATCCCCTTGAGAAATTAAAGCCAAGCTCTCCTGAATGGCTGTGTTGGTTGCTGCAGGGCCCAAGGCTTGCTTCTGTGGCCCCTTCTGTTCTCCCTAAGGGAGCTTACCTAGTCCACCAGCCTGCTCCAAACTGCTGGCGTCTCTGTCCTCGACAGTAGCCAAGGCCTTTCACCTGGACTCCTTGTTTCCCCACTTGCCGGATACAATGCAAGTCCCACACAGCAGCCAGGAGAGCCTTTACAAACACGAACCACATCCCACGCCTCACCTGCTCAATGCCAGCCAGTCCTCCTCTTTGCCCTTTGCCTCGCTGACATCTGACCTCAGCTCAACCTCGCCTCCCACATTCCAGCCACGGGGGCATCTTCTTGGTCTCTCAGATAAGCCAAAGGCATTCCCCTCAAGACCTTTGCACCAGCTACCCTGCTGCCCTGCGGCTCCCCTCCCGGCCACTCAGGAGCCCCCTTATCGTCACGCAAAGCCCAGCCACCTACACTTCCCAGTCCAAAGTACCCCCCAGCCACCTCGCAGCACACAGTGGTCTCCAGAGTCTCTCAGAATGCTCATCGCTTGCCTTTTTCTCTCTTCCTTCTTCCACCTAAAATGTGATCTCACGAGAGAAGAAAACTTGCCTGTCTTATCCACTGCTGTGTTCTCACAGACAAAAAGTGCCTGGAATAGGATATCTGCTAACAAGCATTTATTGAATGAGTCTTATGAGCATGGTAGATTTAATTTCCATGTGTGATTTTCTCATTGCTATGATCCCTAGGACACTCAGGGTCAAAGGCAAGGCTCACTTCTCCTACTTGCACAAGACCTTACGCTGTGCATTGGAGGGACCCATCGCAGCTCTGGCCTGATGTTTCCCTCCTATGTTCCTCTTGTACCGATTTGCTCATCTTAAGAAATATTTATAAAAGGCTGAATGCATCATTGAGCCTTTCTCAGCCCTTAATAAAATGTGGTGGTGTGTAAATACATTGGCAGGTGGCTTTTGCTAAATAGCACAAGATAGATTTCTGCAGGGAACAAGAGGAATCAGTCCTCCATGTCATTCACCAACTACAAGTGGGGAGAGCAAACCCAGATGCTCTCCCTATTTGAGTCAGTGCTGCAGTGGCCACAGAAAACATCCTGTCCTCTGCAGGAGGCAGGTGTGAATTCCCAGGTCACGGGTAAAGTCGGTCAACAGATGACAGGAGAGCAGACATCAGGCTGAGCCAGCCTCAGGACCACAGTGAAGGCAAACAAGGTGAGAGGGAAGCAGACTATCCACTCAGAGGCATTCATAGGACACTTTTAATTTTTTTTAAATTTTATTTATTCATTCATTTTATTTATTTATTTACTTTTTCTGAGATGGACTCTTGCTCTGTCTCCCAGGCTAGAGTGCAGTGGTGCAATCTCTGCTCACTGCAACCTCCGCCTCCCGGGTTCAAGTGATTCTCCTGCCTCAGCCTCCTGAGTAGCTGGGACTACAGGTGAATGCCACCATGCCCAGCTAATTTTTGTATTTTTAGTAAAGACAGGGTTTCACCCTGTTGGCCAGGCTGGTCCCAAACTCCTAACCTCAGTTGATCCACCTGCCGCAGCCTCCCAAAGTGCTGGGATTACAGGCATGAGCCACCGCACCCGGCCCATTCATTCATTTTAAAGATTGGTCTCCCTCTGTCACCAGACTGGAGTGCAGTGGCACAATCATAGCTCACTGCAGCCTCAGACTCCCAGGTTCAAAAGATCCTCTTGCCTCAGCCTCCTGAGTAGTTGTAAGTCAAGCTAAACTTCTTTATTGCTTATAGCATGTCTTTCTTTAAAAAAAAATTTTTTTTTAGATGACGTTTCGCTCTTGTTTGCTCAGGCTGGAGTGCAGTGGTGCGATCTCGGCTCACTGCAACCTCTGCCACCCATGTTCAAGCGATTCTTCGCCTCAGCCTCCTGAGTAGCTGGGATTACAGGCACCTACCACTATGCCGGGCTAATTTTTGTATTTGTAGTAGAGACGGGGTTTCACCATCTTGGCTAGGCTAGTCTTGAACTCCTGACCTCAAGTGATCCACCTGCCTTGGCCTCCCAAAGTGCTGGGATTATAGGCTTGAGCCACCATGCCCAGCCAAAATTTTTTAAATTTTTAATTGTGGTGAAAATTTTAAAGTGTTCAGTTCAGTAGTGTTAACTGTATTCACGTTGTTATGCCACAGACCTCCAGAACACTTTCACCTTGCAAAGCTGAAACTCTGAACCTGTTAGAAGCTCCCCACTCTCCCCTGCCCCAGCCCTTGGCAACCATCATTCCACCTTCTGTCTTTATGAATTTTGAAGTCATACAGTATATGTCTTTTCGTGACTAGCTTATCTATCATAGCATAATGTCCTCAAGGTCCCTTCATGTTCTAGCATGGGTCAGAATTTCCTTCCTTTTTAAGACTGAATAATATTCCATGATATGTTTATACCATGTTTTGTTTATCTATTCCTACATTGGTGGACATCTCTTGACTATTGTTGGATAGGACACTTTGGCATCTAAGTATGTCCTGCTCTGATCTGAGGGACATCTGCCCAAGCCAGGGCATCAGTCAGCACCCACCTCTCTCATGAGCCTGGAAAAAAATCCTACAGCCACGCAGGCCATGCCAGTTATGGTCTCCATACTCTGTGAGAGCCAAAGACTGCTGAGCATGCTTTCGGTCAGCTTGTCTTGTTTTATATATCTGTCTCCAGCCTTGTCCACTTTTCCCATACCTTCCAGCATGCATAACCACTCTGCCTGCATTTTGCAGACAACCTCTGCTTGTGTGGTCTGGCCTAGCAAAAGGCACTACCATCCACCCAGCTTGTGAAGGCAGAAATGAAAATCATTCCATTCCTTCAGGCCCCATATCCAACCAACGGCCAAGAGTAATAGAAGTGAGCCTCTAACATCACAGGATCTGCTCACTTTCACTATTCCCATGGCTGTTTCCTTACTGCCAGGTGCCATCATTGCAAGCTGGGCAACTGCAAAGGCCTCCTAACTGACCTCCCTGATTCCACACACCCTGCCCTTTCCCATCTGATCTCCACCCTGCTTCAGGGAGACAATCCCCCGATTCTGATATGATCCTGCCACCCCCTAAGGGCACCCCAATGCCCTCTCTTGGTGTGGCCTACAAGACCCTCCTTGAGTGGACCTCATCTCCTGCATCTCGTCCTCTCCACACCTGCTTCAGTCTTGCATGAAACCCCTCTACACGCACAAGACCTGCCATACCTTCCTAAATCGTTTCTGCTGTTTCTCCTGCCTGGCACACATTTACCTGTGCTTCACCGGCCTAACTCTTCCACGACATTCATGAAGCACCTCGTGCTCTGTATCATTCCTGAGCCCAGGCTCTTTCCTCCTGTACAGCCTCAATATTGGAGCACCTGTTTCACACTCCTCCTTCAGTTGTTGGAGGAATCATTTCTTTCCCCAGATTCCCACAGTCAGTCTGCGTTCTTTGCACAAGTCCTCAGGGCAGAAGGTCATATTCCCATCCCCACTCCCCCACCACCTTCTTTTCTATGGTAAGGAGACATTTCGTAGTGTAATAGTACATAAGAGCTTCTCAAAAGCCCATTGTTAAGCCTGAGTAGCATATAAACAAATGCACTTAAGAGGAATGTTTAAATTGTGAATTATAGGTACAAAAGGCACCATAAACAATTTAAACTAGGGAAGAATTGCCCTGCTGTGTGTCTCTGTTCTATCCAAGTATTCATGCACAAGGGCTGAGTCACAGATCAACAATGAAGAATGGGCATTCAGTTCCATGGCAGAAACCATGAATGCTAAGGGCACAGACAGACATTCGTTTTATGTCCCCTGGTTTCAGTAGTTGATGAAAAATTACCCTTTCTGTCTGAGGCTTTCTTTGTCTGAGCTCAAATTTCATTTTGAAAATTCCGAACAAGCTCTCTTCAATTAAAATGAATCATTTTCCCACATAATAAGAAATGTAAAAGGTTTCTGAACAAAGTTGGTTGAGCTTGGGGAACTGATTGGTCAAAAAAGAATGAAGGCTGTCAAATGACTTTAATAAGATTTTGGATGAGTGGGATGAGGTTTTTAAAGGAAAGACGTTCCTTGAAGGCGCATACCTTTTTTGTATTAGCAGTTTTGGGAAATTGGAATTTGGATAATCCTAGGCTCAAGCAGGGATAATAGAAACAAAACATGGCCATCTGCTTTTCTTAATGTTTTCATGGAAAGACAACTTTTAAATTTACAAGACTAACTACAATCTTCTCTCCTGCAGATCCAACTTCATATTTTAATGTGAATTATCTCAGATTGATTCTTTCAATAGAACAACATAATACAGTGTCATATTTGGAATTTGGAAATAACATTTTCAGGTCTCTCAAGAAGGTATCTGTCTTCATATTCATATTTTAAATTAAGACAGAACCCTCCAAAAAGCAACTGGAAATTTAGAAATTTGAAACTAAACCAAATTAATTCATTTTCACTCAAAAGTAAGAAAAAACAAAATTAACCAAAACAAAGTAGAAATACTAGTAGAGATAAAAACAAAAGTAAGGGATTTAAAAACAAACAAAAAGTAGAATTGATGAGTAAAACCAAGATTTTTGCTTTTAAAAGTCTAGCAAAAAAAAAGATAAAAAAGATTTACCTTTTCTGATATTTCATATAAATGATCACAATATGTGGACTTTTGTGACACTTATGTTTTTGGGACTCACCCATATTGTAGCATATGTAAGTAATTCAGTTCTTTTATTGCTGAGTAATATCCTATTGCATGGATATGGTACAGTTTGTTTATTCATCAGTTGATAGACATTGGATTGTATCCACTTTTTGGCTATTGTGAGTAATGCTGTTATGAACATTCATGTACAAATTTTTGTATGGACATGTTTTCATTTCTCTTGGGTAGATTCCTAGGAGTGGAATTGCTAGGTTATATGGTAACTTTATGTTTAAGATTTTGAGGAACTGCCAAACTCGTTTCCAAAGGGACTGCACCTTTTACATTCACACTGGCAATGTATGAAGTTCCAGTTTTCTCCATATCCTCACTAACACTTGTTACTGGCTGTCTTTTTTTATGACAGCCATTCCAGCGGGTGTGCAGTAGTATTTCCTTGGGGTTTTTAGCTGTAGTTCTCTAATGACCAGTGATGCTGAGCATCTTTTCATGTGCTCATTATTCATTCATTATCTCCTTTGGAAAAATATCTATTCAAATCGTTTGCCCATTTTTTAATTGGCTTATGTGTCTTTTATTATTGTAAGAATTCTTTAGATAGTCTGGATATGAGTCCCTTTTCAGATACATGATTTGAGAATATTCTCTGTGTGTTGTTTTTCACTTTCTTGATGGCATTCTTTGAAGCACAAAATTTTTTTAATGTTGATGAAGTCCAACTTATCAATCTTTTCTTTTATCCCTTGTGCTTTTGTTGCCATAACTAAGAAACCATTGCCTAATTCAAGATCATAAAGAGTTACTACTGTGTTTTCTTCTGAGTTTAATGATTTTAGCTTTTATATGTAGATACATGATTCACTTTATTGTGTATGGTAGGATTTCAGGGTACAAATTGATTTTTTTGCATGTGGATATTCAGTTATTCAGTTCTTCCAGCATTTGTTGAAGACTATTCTTTTCCCATGAAATGGTCTCGGCTGCTTTGTCAAAAATCAATTGACCATAAGCATATGAATTTATTTTTGGATTCTCAATTATATTTCATTGGTCAATATGTCTATCCTTATGACAGTAAAAAACAGTCTTGATTTCTATAGCTTTGTAATAAGTTTTGAAATCAGGAAATATGAGTAACCAGTTTTGTTCTTTTTAAAGATTATTTGGACCATTCTGGTTTCCTTCCATGCCCATATGAATTTTGATAGAAATTGTGTTGAATCTGTAGATGAACTGGAATATTGCCATCCCAACAATATTAAGTCTTTCAATCTGTTAATATGGAGTGCCTTTCCATTTATTTAAATCTTCTTTAATGTTTTTCAATACTGTTTTGTAGTTTTCAGTGTACAAGTTTTGAGTTTTGTACTTCCTTTTATTCCTTAGGAATAAAATAAATTTATTCCTAAGTATTTTATTCATTTTGACACTCATGTAAAGAGAATGGTTTTCTTAATTTCATTTTCAGACTATTTATTACTACTGTATAGAAATACAATTGATTTTTTTATATTGATCTGTTGAACTTGTGTGTTAGTTCTCATTGTTTTTTGGTAGAGTCTTTGATCTTTTTAATATACAAGATCATGTCATTTGTGAATATAAATAATTTTACTTCTTACTTACCAATGTGAATCTTCTTTTTTTTTTTTTTTTTTTTTTTTTTGCCTAGCTGTCCTAGCCAGAATGTTCTATGGTACAATGTGGAAATGGAAAGAGTGACACCCTTGTCCTGTTCTGAACTTACTGATTTTTAGATATTTGATATATTTCTATCAATCGCAGTCATTATTCTCTTTGTGAACTCAAATTCTCCCATTTTTTGGCCAGTGGGAGCTTCTTCTACTTAATTCCTATGGTCTTTTAATGTAATCACACCAGTCTTTGATTGCTTCCTCACTTTCTGGTGCAATAGTGTGCCCCAGATCCAACTAGTGTTTTCCTGCCCCAGACCTAGCATCATTCAGTTTCCCAAAAACTCATTTCCTTTACGTTGGAAACAGTACTGAGAGACCACAATCTGGATATTAGAAGTGACCAGTGCTATGAGTAATTATTGCATCTAGATCCTATATTTGACAAGGCTAGGAAATAAGATGGTGGTGTTGTTATTTAATAAAAGGGAAAAGCCACAAATTCATAGTTATATTTTTAACTTAAATAAAAAAATAAAGTTTTACTTATTTTCTTTTATTTTATCCTTTGATCTCATTTCTTGTACACTGAAAACCTTGATTCCTTTTAGGAGTAATATAATTATTTATTTGTCATATAACAGTCTCAAAGTAACAGTTTGAACATTCATATAACAGTTTCCAAGCAACAATGACAATATTACTACTAACAATTAGATACTGAATGCCATTTGAGATTTTTTAGTAGTTATTCTCATCATTAGAATATATTATCTGAGATGTACAGTCAAATTACCATATCCTAAATTCACTTGGAATATTTTCCTCTTTATGACTCTTGCACCAATTTGATAGACAGGTTCATTTGTTTCCATTCATTTACCATTTTTATTGATTATTTTCACTTCTTTAAAACTTAATTTTTGTATTTTAATTATAATAAATATATATTGGGTTTTATAAGAAGCTATTTTCACAGAGGTTCACTCTCATTCATGTCCCTTCTACCCTCCCCATAAGTAACTATTTTATTAGTTTTTATTTAACTGTCAACTTTTTTCTTTTTGAAAAGTACTCCAGTACAACCTAGAATAGAAATGGCAAGAGTTGACATTCTTTAGTTGTTTCCATATTCAAGGTAAAACTTTCAGTATTTCACCATTATGTATAGTGTTTTCTGAATAATTTTTGTAGTACTTTATCAGATTTTGAAAAATCTATTTTATTCCTGGTTTGCTGAAAGTTTCTTTTTTTGCTTAAAGTTTCTAAATAAAAAATAGGTGTCAATTTTTAGCAAATATATCTTCTGTATCTGAGATGATCATATGATTTTTTCCCCTTTTTTCCTTAATGTGGGGAATTACATTGATTGATTTTCAAATATTAAGCCAACCTTGCATTCTTATTTAAACCCAAGTTAGCTGTATCATATTATCCTTTTTATATACCACTGGGTTCAATTTGCCAATATTTTGTCTAGAATTTTTGCATCCATGTCCATGAGAAAGACTAACTCAGGAATGCCCTTTTTTGTAATTTCCTTGACACATTATGCTAGCTTCATAAAAAGAGTTTAGAAATGTTTCCTCCTTGCCCATTCCATTAATGTAGTGAGCTAAACTGATTAGTTTTTAAAGTATTAATCAAGCTTTATTCTTGGAATAAATCCAAAAATGTAGCATATAGTTATGCTTTGTTCTTCAAACTAGTTTGACAATCTTGATATTTTACTTGGGGTATTTTATATATTTATATGGGGGTATTTCATGTATTTATCTCAGTAATGTAAATATATAAACTACCCCAAGTAAAATATCAAGTAATGACTGATATATTTGGGCTCATTTATACCTATTATTTATTATATATTTAGCTCATTTTATGTTTTTCCTTCCCTTCTTGCCTTCTTTTGAATTAAGTATTAATAGTCTCTCCCTCTATTAGCTTTTCAATTATAGAGTATTTTACTATATTTTAGTGTTTATGTTAGAGATTATAATATGAATCCTTGACTTACTACTGTTAAATACAAATTAGTACTTACACTTCCCTAGAATATGTTCATTCCTTAGGTTACTTTTCTCTATTTGCCTCATGCTGTCTTTTGTTTTATGGCTGTCATATATTTCAATTCAACGTTAATTTTAAACCACAATATCCAACGTTATTGTTGGATAATGTTCTTTCCTCAGCACAGTTTTCTCTATTTGCCCCATGCTGTCTTTCGTTTTATGGATGTCGTATATTTCAATTCAACATTAATTTTAAACCACAAAAGATATTATTATTGTTGGATAGTCAATAGTCACTTATATTTACTGATATATTTGCTTTTTCTATTGCTCTTTATTCCTTCCTACATCTCTGGATTTCCATCTGGGACCACATTCCTTGTGCCTAAAGCACCTCTTTAAAAAAAGAAGTACTGACTTTTTGGCATACAGTTCTATGAATTTTAATGCATGTATAAATTTGTATAAGCCCTACAACAATTGTGATGCAAAACACAAATAACTCCATTTAACATTTCTTCTATTAGAAGTTTATTGGTGACATACACTCATATTAGTATTAGTTTTTGTTTTTCTGGAAATATCTTTCTTTTGCTTTTATTTTGGAAGGATATTTTCACCAAATATAGAATTCTAGGCTTGCTGTTGTCTCTCTTCAGCCTTTTAAAGGTGTCATTCCATCATTTAGTTTTCATCACTTCCATTGAGAAGTTAGCTATTAATCTTATCATTGCTTCCTTGAAGTAATGTATCTTTTTTCTCTACTTGCTTTTATGATTTTCTTGTCTTTAATTTTTATTAATTTGATTGTAGTATGCCAAGGCGTTATTTTTGTTGCCTTTATTTTGCTTTAGGTTCTTAGTAATTTTTGATTCTATGACTCAATATTTTTTACCCCTTTTGGAAAATTCTTGTTTATTATCTCTACTAATATTGCTTCTGCCACATTCTTTTCTTCCTCCCTCCTTGAACTCCAATTACACAGGTTAGAAAGTTTCATATGATAGACCATGTCTCATATGTCTCCTATACACTTTTTTGTTTTCCATCCTTTTTTCTTTCTGTACTTCAGTCAAGATATTTTCTACTGACCTATCTCCAGCTCACCAGTCCTTTCTTTGGCTGTGACCAAATTGCTGTTAAACCACATCTGTGGAGTTCTCCTTTTTCTTACTGTATTTTTTTCTTCAATGCCAGTATTTCTACTTGCTTTTTAAAAAATATAGATTCCAGATTAGCTGGTGCAGTTGACACTGCAGAGGTCATGTTTAGGTAGCAAGGGGGGGTTTTAATTCATAATTTTCTTTTCTTTTTCTTTTGAGACACAGTTTCACTCTTGTCGCCCAGGCTGGAATGCAATGGCATGATCTCGGCTCACTACAACCTCCGCCTCCCGGGTTCAAGCGATTCTCCTGCCTCAGCCTCCTGAGTAGCTGGGATTACCGGCACCTGCCACCGTGCCCAGCTAATTTTTGTATTTTTAGTAGAGATGGGGTTTCGCCATGTTGGCCAGGCTGGTCTCCTGACCTCAAGTGATCTCCTGACCTCAAGTTGAGCTCCTGACCTCAAGTGATCTGACAGCCTTGGCCTCCCAAAGTGCTGGGATTACAGGCATGAGCCACTGTGCCCAGCCCCTAGTTCATGATTTTCTACCTGCAGCGTAAAATATGAGTGCATGGGTAAAATCAGGATCCAGAAGAGGAGGTGGTCAAGATTCCTCCAGGCCAGAAGGATCTGTGGCTGCCCAGAGGCCATGATTAACAATCTCAACAAGAGGAACCACCAGCTGAGAGTCAGGATGTTGAAGCTGGACAAGAGAGAGAAGAAGGAGCACCTGTAGCTGAAGGTGAGGAGGAAACTGAACTGGAAGGTGACTGCCAGGAAATGGGTCTGGGAAAGAGTGGGAGTGAGTATGCAGATGGCCTCAATGTGAAAAGGAAGATTCTGCCTAACCTACAGTGTGCTAGAATTCCAGAAGAAGGTGGTGGATGGGCAGCTGTAAGTTAAAAAGAAGACAAGCTGAGGCCACAAATGCTGTTGTTATATTGAAATTTTGACTTATTAAATTCTCTCAAAAAAGCTTTACAGTTCTCTCTAGAAAAATATACATTCCAGTTTTCTAGTAAAATTCTTCATTTTGTAATTTATTTTCTTGATCACGATAATTACAATTAAAGTCTGCATCTGATAGCTACAACAATCTAGGACACATGTGAGTATGTTTTTTCTCTTGATCCTCTTTCTTGAATCCTACTAATTTTGAATTGAATGCTGATCACAGGGTCTAGAGGCTCTGGATGGAGTTACTTTCCTCTGGAGAAGGGTTACCCCGTGGTCTGACAGGCTGCTGGAGTAAGGTCAGTTTATCTCAATCCAGTCAGGGACTAAGAAGACGAAGTCTGCGTTGCAGTAAGGCTTGATCAGCCCTCATGCACTCCCTTTCCAATGGTCTCACCTGAAAGCCTGGCGCATTTGCTAAATGCTACTTCCTTGAATCGCGTGAAGCTGGGAGGCGGAGGTTGCAGTGAGCCGAGATCGCACCACTGCACTCCAGCCCGGGCGACAGTGCGAGACTCAGTCTCAAAAAAATAAAATAAAACGCTACTTCCTTGTCAGTTCCCAAACTCTAGTTTTTATCTCCGTTACAACACAAGACTGCTAAAATCCCACCTTGCTTTCCAGTTGCTTTTCCCGGCTTGACTGTCACTCTACATAACTAACACTACGCACTTCCGAGAGAAACCGTCAGATGTCAGGCTCACTCCTCTGCACCTCCCTTCTCTCTGGAACCAAGACTTCTTGAACCCAGCCGACTTGGAAACTCCACACTCCAAGTTTTATCACCTCAGACCTGTAAGACCGTGAGAACTCTGCTGCTTTTCCTCCCCTTCCAAGTCTCTACCAAGCCTCTCAACCTCTTTCTTCATGCCAAGAATTAGCAAATGCCAAGGGAGAAAATCAACATTCAGAATGTTGGGCTCACTTCAGTGGGATTCCCTTCTCTCTAGTATTTTGACCCTTCATCTGTGGGGTGTCTCTGTGACTCTCTGAAGACTTCAAACAGATCCCTTTCAATTGGATCTCTCTTTTTCTGTTGTTCTCACTGGAAGCATCAGTTTTCTACTAACCACTCCATCATATCTGAAAATGGAAAGTGTCTCCTTGTTTCACTTTCTAGATATACTGTAGTTTTTATTCAACCCATTCTCTGCTGAAAAACCTTTGGGTTGTTTTGCAGCCTTTTGCTATAACAGATAAGGCCATAGAGTATAGTGGCACATGTCTGCGTATATCGCCACTGGATAGTTGAGATCGAATCCTGGAAGCGTGATTGGTGGATCAAAAGGCACGTGCATATGTAATTTGCATATACTGATTTGCCAATTTCCCATCACAAAATTTGTACCATTTTATGTCCTCGCCTGCAGTGTATGAAAGGCCTGTTTTACCACAGCTTCACCAAAAATTTTACATTGTCAAACAGGGAATTTTGTCAATTTGACAGATGAGACAGTATCTCAGTAGTTTTGACATGCATATTGTTTACTGTGCATGAGGGTGATTAGCATGTTCTTCTGTGAACTCTCTATTCATACTTTTGCCCTTTGTGTGTGTGTAGAAGGGAGTCCTTTCGTCTCAATTTTTAGGAAATCCTTACTATATTAAAGCATGTTAATATTTGGTGATAAAGGTTGCCAAATTTTTCCCAATTTGTAATTATCTTATGACTTTCCTTATGTTGTTTTTTTTTCAGTGTTGTCAAATTTATCAATCTCTTCTCTTATCTCTAGATTTATTTTAGTCATAGTTAGAAATCTCCACTCTTGGATTATAAAAATAAAATACATGTTTTCTTCTAGTTCTTATATGGATTCTGTTGTTGTTGTTTTTCACTTAGATCTCTAACACATTTGTAAATTATCCTGGAGCATATTTTAAGAAAAAGTTACAACTTTATCTTTTTCTTTATAGCTATCCAGCTGCCCAAACATTGTTTAAAGTTAATGTTTCCCTCTGACTTCAATGCTTGCTTTGTCATATGCTAAATTATCCTTACATGTATTTCTGTATATTCTATTCTGATCCACTGGTCTATAAGTCTTTTCCTGAGCCAGTATCCCACTGCTTTAATTTAGAGGATTTAAAATGTTTTAGTACATTCTAATAGGATTAGCCAGATTAGCCATGCACTACATTAGTGTTCTTTCCAAGTATTTCTTGGTTATTCTCACTTGTTTATTCTTTCATATAAACTTTTTAATCAACTTGTCTAGTTCCAGGAAAAAAGTATCTGAGGAGATTTTTATTAAGGTTGCACTAAATTTATAACTATTTTAGGAAGAAGTATCATCTTTATCACGTTGAATTTTTCCTTCAAAAAGATAGTATGTTTTTCAATTTGTTCAAAATTTTTAAGTCCTTCAAGAATGTATTACAGTTTTCCTATTGTTTTTTCTATCTTATTAAGTTTATGTCAAGATATTTAAATTTTTGTTATTATACATAGGGTGTTCTCATCAAACTGCTTAGTTTATATATATGAAAGCTATTGATTTCTGTATGCTTATTTTATATGCTGCTACTTTATTATCTTACGGTTTTAGTACTTTTCCATTGATTCTTTTGGGTTTTCCAACTATACAGTTAAATTCTGTGAACAAAGACAGTTTGTCTCTTCCTTTCCAATTCTATGCTTCAAATTGTTTTCTCCTGTTTAATTGCATTAGCTAACATGTCAGTGCAATGTTCAACAATTGTAGAGATAGTGGACATCCTTGTCTTGTTCCTGACTTTAGGAGAATCTTCCCTAAAGTGTTTGACATTTGAAGATTAAGTATGAGGCTGGCTTTTGGATTGTTATGCGCACACACACACACACACACACACATTTTATTATGTTAAAGAAGTAGGGCTGTGCTATTTTTTAAATTGTGTGCTAGACATTTGGTTTTGAAAAATTATTTGCAGAAATAATTTGAGGACTAGAATGATATATCTTGCTCCAGAGAGGATTCTTGTTGCTTATTCCGTAATCCCAGGGGGCACTATTAGCAATCTGGATTCGCCCTATTCTAATTTTAGAGTTTGAGATTTTCTAGGCCTGCAGAATCACCTGAAGAGAGGCTATGAGCCTTATAAAGACTCATTTAGTTATCTTCACCCTTCCTTCTTGGGCCAGCTCTTCAGGGCTCTACTCCCAAGGTGTAGGGTACTTCCCAAGACTTCTGCCCCTGGCAGGCTCCAGACCACAGCTCTTTCTCTCTGGCTCAAGGGGTTTTTTAAACTGCAACTCTGTCTTTCAGTTGCCCTTTGAAGATCTGCAAATGTTCCCCAGGACAAAAGGAGCCTTAAATATGAGGCTCACTCTCCTGATTTGTGTCTTCTCCCAGATCTTGGCCAATAAATCCTTATGACCCTTTTGCTCTTCTTGATTTTAAAACTTAATTATCTATTGCATCTAGCTTTTACTAGTTATCATGAACAAGAGATCTGGTCCGAATTACCTAGTCCTCCATTGCCAAAAATGAAACTCCTATATGGAGACAACAACTTTTAAAACCAATAAAGAGAAAAAAGAAAGCAAACAGACTTTTTAAAATCATATTTTTTAATATTTGAAAGATTTCCAGATGTGTCTAAACTACCTTTAGAAACAGGTACTTCTCTAAAGACCACTAACAGCATGAAATTCATATGACTAAGAAAATAAATTTATTTCCGTAAGAGGTCCTCCAAAGTAGCATAACTTTAGAGCCACACCTTACTTTTTACCCAATTTACATATTACCTAGGCTCTCCTTGGCCTACCTTCTGGCACAGGAAATGTTATTCTTTTATAAAAAATTGAACTCTTTCCTTACAACATGTGAAGCTATCAATATCTGTGAAAAGAGGAGGTGGTGGGTGGGGGAAGAAAGAGAAAATGCGAAGCTATTCTTTGATTCTTATCTGTTACTAAGTAAATTTCCGCATGGCAATCACTCTCCTCACAAATGCAGACAAAATAAGTCAACAAACAGACAAACAAAAAAAAAAAAAAAGAAGGAAACTACAACAAAAACAGCATAGGGTACTTCTAGTGTTCTGACCTACGGAAGAAAATGCTTGGTGTTTTTTTATTGTCCCAGCAAATACAATATGATGTAAGATCCTTTGCCTGGACTATATACATTTTCATGGGACTCTATCCTCAGGTTTCTCAATCTAATTTCTTTCATGCACAAAGTTCACTCAAAAGCCATGCCTCATAGACTTACCAACAATACTTAAAAACTCAAGCCAACTGCTTTCGTTCCAGTTTAAAAAGCAACTGCTGGCCGGGCGAGGTGGCTCACGCCTGTAATCCCAGCACTTTGGGAGGCCGAGCCGGGCGGATCACCTGAGGTCAGGAGTTCGAGACCAGCCTGGCCAACATGGCAAAACCCCATCTCTACTAAAATACAAAAATCTGCCAGGCCTCGTGTTTACACCTGTAGTCCCAGCTACTCGGAAGGCTGGGGCATGAGAATCACTTGAACCCAGGAAGCGGAGATTGCGGTGAGGCAAGATGGCACCACTGCACTCCAGCCTGGCAACAGAGCGAGACTGTCTCAAAAAAAAAAAAAAGAAAGAAAAAGAAAAAAAAGCAACTACCCTGAAGATTACAGGCAGGAGGCTGGCTAATACAATTGGAACAGGATCTGACATTTAATGGGAATTGGCAGTACAGAACGGCACCTGAAGGTGGCAACTGCAGAGCCCCATGGGGGTGACGGGTACAGAGGGACTCATTTCACATAGGACCCAGAGGTGCTCTACACTTGCTTTCCAATGTTCAAAATATATATCCAATATTAGGGAACTCTTCCGGAAATACCACAGACTAAAGTAATGCAGACAGGTCTTCCCTCCTACTGCAAACCATAGAGGAGTTGGATATAATGGCAATATTTTCACTGCAGTATTCATAATCCAGCTGAACAAAGAAAGAATGGGAGGTAACCAGGAGCCAGAAGAAAGATAGAAATCAAACCCAGAGCAGTGAGAAGTAGACGCATCCCTGGTGCCTCGTGGCTCACTATGGTTGGGCCCTGATAAAGGCCCTAGGACCTGGCGTATAAGCTCACATGAACAGATGTGACCTCCAGACTGCAGAAGGCAAAGAAAATGTACCAAGCCCTGGCATGAATCCCTGAGCCTTGTTTATGAAAGGTGGACTAGAAATGTCTTCACACTGGCCCAGGAAACAGAAGAAAGGTGGCCATCTGTGCAGGGACTAGGATAAGGGGAAAATCATCCCCTGTCTAAAATAAACATTCCAGGCATCTGCCATATGTGGATGTGAAAGAATATAAACCCAGGTCACTATCTTACATCATATAAAAATAAACCCAAAATAGATTAGATACTTAAATATGAAAGTGAGATTAAAATCCTACAAGAAAATCTAAACAAGTATGAATTCACTGTAAGGGTGGCAGAGATTTTCTTAATCAAGACTACAAATCCAGGAGCTGTTTAATAAATACCAATAGAATATTTGACTCTATAAAGAATCTGCTGGGCGCGGTGGCTCACGCCTGTAAGCCCAGCACTTTGGGAGGCTGAGGCGGATGGATTGCTTGAGGCCAGGATTGCTTGAGGTCACTCTGGGCAACATAGTGACCAGCCTGACCAACATGGTGAAACCCCATCTCTATTAAATACAAAAAATTACCTGGGCGTGGTGGTGGGTGCCTGTAATCCCAGATACTTGTGAGGCTGAGGCAAGAGAATTACTTGAACCCGGGAGGCAGAGGTTGCAGTGAGCCGAGATTGCGCATTGCACTCTAGCTTGGGCAACAAGAGCGAAACTCTGTCTCAAAACAAAACAAAAACAATGGAGAGCAAAGAAACCGGGAAACATGTCGGTATAGCTCAAGAAGCTTCAACTCTTAAATATGCAACAAAAATGATAATGATGACTAATTAATGACTAATAGTAATTACTTAGTTAAAATTAAGGTGAACAAAAGTATTCAACCCCAATCACAAGAAAGGTGGATAGGATGAAACGTTTACTACCTCCTGAGGTCCTGGTGTTGAGGAGCGAACATTATTGTCTGTCTTCAGATTTTGTTGAATGAGCAACTTTGTTGAAAGAAAGAAAGAAAAGAGAAAGAAGGAAGGAAGAAAGGAAGGGAGAAAAAAGAACGAGAAAGGGAAAAAAAGTAAAAGAAAAAAGGAAAGAAAGAAAAGAGAGAAAGAAAGAAAGGCCTACCAGTGACAATCAGGCTTTTTAGATGCAGGCAACAGAAACTCACTGGGGCTGATTTAAGCAGGAAAGAGGTTTATTAGAAAGAATATTGGGCCAGGCATGGTGGTTCATGCCTGTAATACCAGCACTTTGGGAGGCTGAGGCTGGCGGATCACTTGAGCCCAGCCTGGGCAACATGGTGAAACCCCCTCTCTACTAAAAATATAAAAACTAGCTGGGCATGGTTGTGCATGCTTATAGTCCCACCTACTCAGGAGGCTGTTTGGGAGGATCAGTCAAGCCTGGGAGGCAGAGGTTGCAGCGAGCAGAGATCACACCACTGCTCTCCAGCACTGGGCAACAGAGTGAGACCCTGTCTCAAAAAAAAAGAGAGAGAGAATATTGGATATCTCACAGGATCAGTAGGAATATAGTCAAAGGAAGCACTAGTAGGACCAATACCACGGTCAGGGTGCGGAGCTGGCCTGGTGATGACACGACAGCCCTCACCTCCTGCATGGCCCACACCACATCAGCACACACGCCACCCTAGAACCCCTCGGGGTGGGCAACTCAAGCCACTGCAACTGCCACTGCAGATCCGGAGCAATGTCTCTGTCAGGCAGCCTCCTGGGGCTATGAGCTGCTACCCCCTCAAGCACGGGTGGGAACATATGGCTGTAGGGACAAGGTGATGTGCTTGCACCATCGCTGCAGTGCAGGGAAGGAAACCAAGGTCTGGAATTTTATGTCTTTTTTTTTTTTTTTGAGACAAAGTCTCACTCTGTCGCCCAGGCTGGAGTGCAGTGGCACACTCTTGGCTCACTGCAGCTTCCGCCTCCCGGGTTCAAGCAATTCCAAGTAGCTGGGATTACAGGCGCATGCCACAATGCCCGGCTTTTTTTTTTTTTTTTTTTTTTTTGTATTTTTAGTAGAGATGGGGTTTCACCATGTTGGTCAGGCTGGTCTTGAACACCTGACCTTGTGATCCACCCACCTCAGCCTAATTTTCCTTTACTGAGAGAGATGGGCTTGGCCTCCCAAGACACATGAGGTGGGTAGACACACGCGTTTCCTCAAGCGATCGTCCACTGAACCACCCCAAAAAATTGACATAGGTCCACTACAACATGAAAATAATTTAAATAAGAAATCTAACTTCCTGTAGAGGAGAAGGTGAAATAAGGATAACTTAAGACAAAAGAAGATAGGAAGAGAGAGGTGCAGGGTAGTATTTGTTACCTAGGACTGCAGTAGCGAAGTACCACACACTTGGCAGCTTAGAACAACAGAATCTTGGCCAGGCGCAGTGGCTCACACCTGTAATCCCAGCACTTTGGGAGGCTGAGGCAGGCAGATCGCCTGAGGTCAGGAGTTCAAGACCAGCCTGACCAACATGGAGAAACCCCGTCTCTACTAAAAATACAAAAAAATTAGCCGGACATGGTGGCACATGCCTGTAATCCCAGCTACTTAGGAGGCTGAGGCAGGAGAATCGCTTGAACCTGGGAGGCGGAGGTTGCAGTGAGCTGAGATCGCGCCATTGCACTCCAGCCTAGGCAACAAGAGTGAAACTCCATCGCAAAAAAACAAAACAAAAAACAGAATCTTATGCTCTCACTGTCTGGAGGCCAGAAGTCTGAAATCAATGCGTGGGCAGTCTGTGGCCTTCCACGGTTTGTCAATGTCTCTGTCCTTACATGGTGTTGCCACTCTGGGGCTCTGAATTTCCCTGTTCTTATAAGGACACTAGTCATTGGATTAGGGCCCACCCTAATCCAGTATAACCTCTTCTTAATGTGATTACATCTGCAAAGACCCCATTTCCAAATAAGGTCACAGTCACAGGTTCCAGGTAGATGTGAATTTTGGAAGGACACTATTCAAGCCAGCACAAGGGGTACAGAGAGGATAGTAATCACCTGCAGGGACACATATTAAAAATACAGCTTCTTAGTCCAGACCTCCCGAGATTCTCATTCAGTGGATTTCAATAAGAAAGGGCCAAGAATCTGCACTTAGCAAGCACCCAGGTGATTCTGCATGCTGAGAACACTTGCCTAGAAGGAGGGACAAGTGAGAGATCTCCTGGAGGTGCCAATGGAAAGCCACAGGATACAGGGGACCAGGGAAGGCTGCATGGAAGAGGTGGCCCTTGAGTTAAAGGTGAGAGGTCACCAGGCAAGGTGACTGGCATTTGCAGCAGCATGGGGCAGGACTGATGGATGGATGGTGTGGGCTAGGAAGGAACCAGCCTAGAAAACAGGCCGGGGCCCTGGGCTTCTTTCTGTGTTTCATTTTTTGGTCTGGACAGGAGCAGAGGACTTGTTTTTACATGTAATCACTAATGAGTATGAGTTAACCTGACAACACTCAGTGCAAGATTTGTTATGTATTTGGGTTTGTTTTGTTTCTCAATCAAATTAAATGTGACTCTGAGTCTACTTACCAGGGTTAGTGAGACATTCAATGTAAGTCATTACTGGCAACATATCTCCCTCTCCCTAAGAGCCTGAAGGGTCCTCCACAATCCAGAAAACTTAGCAACAGCCTGCGCTCTTCAGGTTGTCAGCGCTGTCACTGAGATGCTCGTCATCCGGCCCTATGGGGTCCACCTTACTGCTCAAAGCATCACTCCCTGGGTCCAAGGTGGCCACAGAAAACATGGCTACAGTTTCCAAAGCCAGAGCTTAGCATTCAGATACCGAGTATCCGCAAGCCACCCTCATTAGAGACCTACCACCTTCCAGACTATGTGGACACGGGGTGCAGGTTTCTACTATTAACCCCTGGGAATCCAACCACATTGCTCACAGGCCACTTGCTCTTGTTAAATGCACCTTTCCTCCAAACCCTGTGCAAGTCCTCCTTGCTGGACAATCCAGATTTAGAACCCCAGTGAGCCCAAACCTGTTGAGTCCGTATGGAGTGAGGGAAAGCCAGTGCTACACCAATACTCTCTCATTAGTTTATCCAGCCAGGTATGCTCATATAAATTAGGGTTTCATCTTGTGTTTGCATTTGAATATGCGTTCATTTTCCTTTGTGCTGAATGACATACAGTGATTTGAATGCTTTAAGTATCTCCCCTTCTCTAAGCAACAAGGCAGAAGCCCAGGGTTTGCACTTATCACATCCATGGCCAAGAAATTGCACTTCAATTTCTTTACCCGTGAAGTAAGGATAAGACTTTTCCTTCCTTCCTTACCCCTCACAGAGCTGTGAAGTTCAATGAAGGCAGTATACGCGAAAGGAGTTTGCAAATGAGAGGTACTTCAACACAAAGCTTTACTATTTTAGGCCGGGCACAGTGGCTCACGCCTGTAATCCCAGCACTTTGCAAGGCCGAGGCAGGCAGATCACCTGAGGTCAGGAGTTCGAGACCAGCCTGGCCAATATGGTGAAACCTCATCTCTACTAAAAATACAAAAATTAGCCAGGAGTGGTGGCTCATGCCTATAGTCCCAGCTACTCTGGAGGCTGGGGCAGGAGAATCACTTGAACCTGGGAGGTGGAGGTTGCAGTGAGCCAGGATCACACCACTGTACTCCAGCCTGGGCACAGAACAAGACTCCGTCTCAAAACAAAATTAAAAAAAAAAAATAAACTTTATTATTTTCAAAACATCTCACCAAAGGTAGGGTTTCTCTGACTCCAACAAATAAATATGTGAGCCTTTGAATCAATCATCCTCTCCTCACTCATTTTCTGAAATGATTTGCTTTCTGGAGTTCTACACAGGGAGATAAAATTCAAATGCTATTTGGGAGCGCTCCTTTTCTCTCCAACTTCAAGCCTTCATCAGTAGGTGTCAGAGAGACTGTAAATATTGTCCCCTGACTTGGCTTTAGAGGGAGAAAAAAGATGCCCCTGTGTGGCCAGAACAATCCTGGTTTGTATCTGTTGTCCTGGCCCAATGATGTATAGTCCACTCTCCTCCCATTCACTCTCAAGTGCTCCAGTTTGATCAACAGCTTCTATGCTCGCCCCAGCCGCTTTAGGTAAAGAAGGCTAGGTAAAATGCCTATGACACAAAACAGGGTGCCACATAATTACCAAACAAATTTCCATCCAGTGACACCCTTCTAAAGGAGCACACCCCTGACCAGACCGGAATAGAAGGCGTCCTCACCTGCCAACTCTTGAAAACTGTCGCCACCTCGTGGTCACAAGCTGCTGTTCCAGCAGCACTGGACAGGATCCTTTGACCTTTGCAGAAGAGATGAAGGAGTGAAATGGACACAGAAGATGCAGAATTAGGGGGCTTGAAAAATATGTATCTCATTAACATACACTTTTGTGTTTGCTGATTAAAGAAAATCGCCACTTTCAGGAGATTCTCATTAGGCAGGAATAAGGCATCTTTTATATTTTACACTCTCAGATTCCAATAAAAAGATTGCAGGCTAAAATGTTATTTTGATATAAGTTCTACTTTATATTGAAATATTGTTTAATTAATTCAACATAGTGGGAATGGTGGCACTTAATTTAAAAAAATCCACCAACAAATGTTCAATTCTTGTCTGGGATCAGGCCACTGAGGGAAAGGAAGACTTCTCTGTGACAGTTTGTCTTTCCAGACAAACTCTTTGTCTGGAAAGGGGGCTGTGTTCAAAGAACACTTCCCTGAGAAAGTGATTTGTGTGCTGAAATTGAAAGAAGGACTGGAAGATAAGGAGAGAGAAGGCAAGTTTGTGAGTGAGGGGCACGGCCAGTGGAAGGATCCAGTGAGTAGGGTGGGGATGTCTGAGTGAGGACAGCATGTTTGCGCAACTGAACGATGACTCATGTGGCCATGAGCATGTAGAGTAAGAGGATGACGAGGCAGCAAATGAAGCCGTGCAGCATGTCACCGGCATGTCGAAGCTTTTCTACCTTTTTTCTAGGAGCAATGGGAACCTATTCACATGTTCTAAGCAAGAAGACAAATTTGAGTTGTGAAAAGCTCATTCTCGGTAACGATAAGAGAAAATACTAAAGATGGGCTGTAGTGATTTGAAACAGCCACTACTGCAGTGGCCCAAGTGAGCATTATCATGGTAGGGAATAACCGATATATGCTGGGCACACTTCTAGATGCTTTGTGTATTGACTCATTTAAGCCTTACAAAAGCCCTATGAGATAGGTACTACTATTAATACCCATTTTACAGATGAAAAAAGAGGCATACAGAAGTCTAATTTCACAGACCACAATTTATGTCTAATTTTATGACCACTACATTACCTGGCCTACAGACAGTAATAAGAAAATGGAAGAAAGTATATGGTTTCAAGAGCTACTTCAGAAGAAAAATCAACAAGACCTGATGATGTGCTGGATATAGGACATCAGAGAGTATCAAGAATGATACCCAGGCTGACGACTTAAGCCACTGGATAGGGACACTGGAGGAACACCAGGTTTGGAGAAAGTCATAAGCTTGACCTTGCAGATGCTGAGTTTAACCAGTGTTTAACTGACTGAGAAGGCAGTTGGCTCAAGAGATAGAAATATGGAGCCAGGCACAGTGGCTCCTGCCTGTAATCCCGGCACTTCGGGAGGCCAAGGTGGGTGGATCACCTGAGGTCAGGATTTCAAGACCAGCCTGGCCAACATGGTAAAACCCCATCTCTACTAAAAATACAAATATTAGCTGGGCGTGGTGGTGCAGCCTGTAGTCCCAGCTATTTGGGAGGCTGAGGCAGGAGAATTGCTTGAACCCGGGAGGCGGAGGTTGCAGTCAGCTGAGATTATGCCACCGTACTCCAGCCTGAACAAAAGAGCGAGACTGTCTCAAAAAAAAAAAAAAAAGAAGAAGAAGAAGAAGAAAGAAGGAGAGGGAGAAGATGAAGAAGAAGAAGAGGAGGAGGAGGAGGAAGAGGAAGAGGAAGAAGAAGAAGAAGAAGGTTTCTACACTTAAAAAGATGAATAAGGAGAAGGGAGGGGGACAGTGAAGTTACTGATTTCTTACTATATATTAATATGCTTGATGGGTATTTTAAAAATTAATCCTATGAGATAGATATTATCATTCCCATTTAGCAGACCAGGAAACAGGGAGGTTAAATAAATTTCCAACTGTCAAGTTATAGCATTTGGATGGGATCTCAGTTCTTCTGACTGAGATCCTAAGATCTGGATTGGCCATTTCCACTGGTCTTACGCGCACCTGGGATTATGCCCAAACTGTCCCCTCAAATACATTCCACCCCAGTGTCCAGCAGTGATTCACCATTGACTAATCCTTGTCTTTCACTTCCTGTATCTAACCAATTATCAAAACCTGTCAAATTGACTCCCATCAGTATCTCTTCAATTTGTCCCCACTACCACCAGCCTTGCAGACTCATGTCATCTTTTGCATAAACTACTGCAATAGCCTCCTGTTGGCACAATTTCTTCGAAAGTCGGATCCAAGCAACATCACTCTACAATATATGTCAGTTGAACACTTGCTCTTCAAGTTTTTTCTTTATTTTGCTTCTAGCACCTTACTATCCTTCATGTATATTCCAGTTCTCTTACCAGTCCTTCTCAGAGTCCTTAATGAACTTCTTTCACCAGTCTCTTTAAGAAATTTTTACCAACCTCTTTGAGAAATACCAATGTTCTTTAGAGGCCTGAGTCTCAGTCTGTTTTGTATTGCTATAAAGGAATGCCTGAGACTGGGTAATTTCTTTCTTTCTTGTTTTTTTTTTTTTTTGAGACGGAGTCTCGCTCTGTCGCCAGGCTGGAGAGCAGTGGCGCAATCTCGGCTCACTGCAACCTCCACCTCCCAGGTTCAAGTGATTCTCCTGCCTCAGCCTCCCAAGTAGCTGGGACTACAGGTGTGCACCACCACGCCCAGCTGATTTTTGTATTTTTAGTGGAGACAGGGTTTCACCACGTTGGCCAGGATGGTCTCCATCTCTTGACCTCGTGATCTGCCCACCTTGGCCTCCCAAAGTGCTGGGATTACAGGCGTGAGCCACTGCCCCCAGCCTCTTTTTTTTTTTTTCTTTCTTTTTAAAAAAAGGTTTATTTGGCTCTTGACTTGACTGGCTGGAAGACTGGACATCTGGTGAGGAACTCAGGCTGCTTCCATTCATGGCAGAAGGTGAAGGGGAGCCTGCATGTGCAGGATTGCATGGAGAAGAGGAAGCAGGGGTTGGGGAGGAACTGCCAGGCTTTATTTAACAACTAGCTCTCTTGGGAACTAATACAGCAAGAACTCACTCGCTACTGAGAGAATGGCACCAAGCCTTTCGTGAGGGATCTTCCCCTATGATCCAAACACTTCCTGCTAGGCCCCACCACCAACACTGGGAATCAAATGTCAACATGAGGTTTAGCGGGGACAAATATCCACACTGTTAACAGCCTTAGTTCTTTTTGTGCTGCTATAACAGAATACCTGAGACTGGGTGATTTATAAAGGACAGAAATTTATTTCTCACAATTCTGGAGGCTGAGAAGTCCAAGATCAAGGTGCTGGCAGGTTCGGTCTCTGGTTCCAAGATGGCATCTCCTTGCTATATCCTCCGCAGAGGAAGAACACTGTGTCCTCATATGGAAGAAAAGAGAGCCCACACCTGCGGATCACCTGAGGTCAGGAGTTCGAGACCAGCCTGGCCAATGTGGTGAAACCCTGTCTCTACTAAAAATACAAAAATTAGCGGGGCATGGTGGAGGGCACCTGTAATCCCAGTTACTCGGGAGGCCGAGGCAGGAGAATCGCTTGAACCCGGGAGGCAGAGGTTGCAGTGAGCCAAGATCGTGCCACTGCTCTCCAGCCTGGGAGACAGAGTGAGACTCCATCTCAAAAAATAAAAAAAAGGGATCCCATGCCTGAAAGCCTTTTTTATAGTGACATTAATCCATTCATGAGATCAGGGCCCTCATGACCTGAACACCTCCCATTAGGCCCCACCTCCCAACCCTATTGCATAAAGTTTCCAACACATGAATTTTTGGAGGGAACAAAAACATTCAAACCACAGCAGTGTCACCTTGGGTCTCTTCTTATTCCACCCCCCTACCCTGGGGAATCCTATTTTTGCATACAGCTTCAAATGCATACACATAGTGATAACACTGAGTCTGTGTTTTCAATCCATGTCCCTCATACTATTTGTACAACTGGTTATTTCTGTCTACGTAATATCATATAAGCACCTGAAATTCAAATATGGTATGCCCAAAACTGGACTCCTATCTTCCACCTCCCTATGCCCAATCCCAAACCTACTTCTCTTGCTGTATGCATCCCCCCATGTTATCAACTGCTAAATGTTGAAATCATCCTTCATTTCTCCTTCTCCTTCACAATCTAATCTCAAGTCCTATTGATTTTTCATATCCTCAAATTTCCCATGGTCATTGCTCCTTTCCAGTCTGCCATTAGTTTTGTTTTCTTGCTTGGACCAGTTAAGAGACATCCTGTTTCCATCGTGCCTCCAACCAGTCCTCCTCCTTGCAGTTAGCACGAGCAACTAGTGCAGATGCCTGGAAGATTAGTCGACTACTCAACATATGTTAAATAAGCAAATCAGTGCTCTCTGTTTAAAATAGTTTAGTAGTCTCTGTCCCATATGACATGAACTTCAAAGCCTTTGCCACTGCACACAAAGTCTTTTTGTGACCTAGACTGTACATCTCTATTGTCAAAACAGTGGACCCCCACCCCCACCCCCGGACACGTGCATTCTCTATTTCAGGAATGACCAACTATCTATAGTTCTCCAAGCAAGGCACCTTCCCATGACACTGCCTGTGCACATTCTTTTATCTAGAATCCTCATCCTCTACTTGGAAAACTCCAACTCCTTTCTTCAAGATTCTTAGTGAAGCTTTTGCTGTCCTTCCCTCCTTCCTCCTCTAACCCCCACAAAGTTCTTTGTAAACAGCATCATTCTTACAATCCAGCTGAATTACTTACACAAGATAAACTAATGCACTTGTAGAGATGCCCAGGGGGTGGGAGGCCAGGATGAGGAAAGAGCATTCTCGAAGCTCCCCCAGAACATTCCTCTTCCATTTTCAGGAAGTTCCCTCCTCCTTTTAAGAGCCACCAGACATAACAGACCTTAAGATAAGTCTTCCAAGTCCCTGACATGGCCCCCAAGTCATAGTTACCTTCTCCATTCCAACTGTAGCCATCATGTGGAAAATATTAGTGGCCATTCTGAGGCTCACATCATATGCTTAAAATGAGTCACTGTTCTCAGATTCCCCTTTTCTATGGCTGTATTTAGTGTCATCACTCAGAACTACTTCACCTAATTTCCATCCCAAACTTATCATACACGTCACATTCATTTTATCTTCAATTCCCTATCCCTTTCCTTTCATCCAGTTTACCAGTGCCTTACTGATCCAACTTCTCTCATGACGCAGCCCAAATTCCAGGGCCAATCTCCAGCAATCTCTAATGACCCTGCCCTTCAGACACACCTGCCTTGCAAAATCCAACCCTAGCACAATCCACTTCTTCCCATCCTACATTCTTGGCAGCTGAGCACTCCTGGAGAAGTCACAACTTGCCCCAGCCAATGAAATTCATGGTTTTCTTTCTCAATTGCATTCTCAAAGAAACTCCTCCATCTTTTTACTTGGCTTTGATGAGTTTCTTCAATCTTCCTGGTGGTTAATACTAACAAAAATGTGAAACATGATCTGTGGCAAACAGGTTAACAAAACAACCTTGAGGGTGTTGAATACAGCATGGGAAGAAAACAATAAGGTAAATGTAATAATGTAGCTCTAACACTATATGTGTGTGTGTGTGTCTGTGTGTCCTTTAATGCTATATATATGTCCTAAGTCATTTACTTTCATGGCACTAAGAAATATTATTGCTATTCTCTTAATTCTTCTAGACTTTTCATTTGAAAAATGGGGTGAAGTGTGGACCATTAGTAAGAATGGCTGCTTTCAAATCCCTTCATGTCCAAGGCACCCTTCATACTTATTATCCTTTATCAACCAGAGACACATAACTTTTGTTGTTTTCAATTTAATTTATTCTATGCAGTTTAAAGTGAAAGTTAAAACATCATACAAACCACAGAAGCTTCATAGTACTGACCAGTTTTAAAACAAAAACAGTGAATGATCATTTACACACATTCCTCATCTTTAATTTTACATCTTGTTATATATACAAAGGTACTATTAAAACACGTAATTCTAATTATTTATAAACCTATTGTCAAGCAGCAAGATGGCAATGCATCATAGCAGACCACAGAATATTTCCTTCAAGGAATCACAGCAGCAGTATTTGGTGAATGGTTATGCATAGAACCAACTTGGAGGATCGTGTTAAACATTCCCCATAAAACAGGTAGCACATGTACACCAACAAATGAAAAATGTAACTTTAATTGACATAAGATAAAATGTTACTCTTTACACTTTAAGTTAAAAACTATAGGACACTTTAGAAGCAGACAATACAAGGTGCTTTAGTTCTAGACTTCACAACAGAACACTATTCCATTAGTCGCTTGAGAGTCCATAACCTCTGAGGACTGCTCAATGGCTTTTTAAAGTCAACCTCAAATATAAAAAGCACTTTAAGTTTACCAGTCAAAATCTAGTTATATCAGTTACATCTTACGTTACAACATACTACTTGAGAAAACTGACTTTTAAAAAAGACTGCATTGTTGACTAATTTCAAAGATTGCTGCTCTTAAAAGTAAAAATGCACCACTTTCAAATCTTTCAACATGTTTTAAGATATCATATTTTGTGAATCCATTACTTTATATATTCCAAACCTTCAGCAAAATAAAATTAAAATGGGTTTTAAACCTAATATCTCTAAAGAAATGGGTCTGCATGTCTGTGAAGTGGCTGTCCACCGCACAGCAATATGTTTGTTTCAACTGTGAAAACATCACTACAAAATCCATCAAGTGAATTTTATATTCATTTTGATGGAAATATCAAAAACCTCATTTAACAGCACTACACAAATATTTAGTGTTTTTGGCATTTAAATCAGAGCAACGCAACCAATGCAATTGGTACAGGCAATTTTCACAAAAAGTTTCAAAGGCAGAACAATTGGAAATGAATGGCTGGTTGGGAAGGAAATAAAACAACCTACCAGAGTCCTCAATTTTAGAATTAATCTTCAAAAGATGGCATGCTGATCACCATCATCCTTTGTGAGGGGTTAGACAAGATTCTAATACATGTATGTGTTTTTAATGCTTATAAACTTTTAAGCTCTAAAATTAACCACAGGCTAGTCCACCTCCCACTGAGACTGCAAATGTAGTTGTGATGCAGTTCCAGTAAGTTTTAGCTACAAAAGCACTAAAACAGGAAAACAAACACTATACCACATAAATAATTCTGCGTTCACTATCTTGCCTTTCTTAGTGGCATTAAGAAATATGTACCATGGTAAGTGTGTTGTGAGGTGCACGAAGAGAAAAAAGTTCTAAACAAAGGATTTGTTTATAGATCTTCATATTGGCATCAGTGATGTTTCTTTACCCTCCCTAAGTGAGAGTCTAAGAGCTAACTAGTATGCTTTTAGGTATATTTCACAAGTTAAATAGAGTATTTCTTAAAATTACATAAAATAAGACATGCTTGAAGCATAAATGTCAATAAATAATGCCAACATATATACCTCTACAAAGGTTAACCTGTATTAATTTGGGCATGACCCTTGTAGATTTCAGGGGCAGAGTTACATCAGCCATCATTCTTTAATAGTGACATAACAGGAAGCTCACCAGCTACTTTAAGTTTTCCAGCAACTATTATATAAACCTTAGGTATCCACCATAAAACAGAATCCATAGTTCAAAACAATAGACTATGAAAAATCTAATTTAAATATCCTCCCAGTACCAAATAATGCCCCCAAAAGTTTTTGGGGGCATTATTTTTTTTTCTGATAATCATTTTAAGATGATATTTAGCTAGTAGGAAGCATTAAAATTAACGCTTGAAACTGTCACTGTTTTGTTATGCCCTAGAGTCACATAAAAATAGAAAATTGTATCTAATAAAGAAATGAAGACAGAGACTGTGCCTTGCTCTCAGCTGCTAGGAAATCTTCCCCTAGCAAACACATAAAACTAAAGTTATGTTCTGTGAATTCTCTTTTAGTATCTCCAAGAGCTACAATATAGCAAAAAGGTGTTCATCACAAACATTGGGACAGAGCCAGTGAACTGTTAAACAAAACTCTAAGCAAGAAGTATGAGGTATCAAACATAATAACACACCATCATAAAATAGAGGTTAAATAGATATTTTGTGATGACTAGTCCTTAATAAAGGTTAAGAAAAACATAAAAAGAACTTGGATTAATAAAGTAAGTTGGCTTTGCACTTCATTCTTGTACAAAGCAGGTAACACTAAACAGGAAGGTTGTTTAATTCACATCTCTTCTCCCTGGTAAACACTCAGCCCAGAGTTCAGTTGAGACAAACACGGAAACCTGGCAAGAGAGTCATTTTACAGCTAAGCGGGAATTTTCACCCACTACTGTTTTCCTCAATACGCATTACCTTTGAGGTCTTGTCACTGAATTGTTTGTGAAGAAGTGTTTTTCTCCACAACACATTCCTTGAGCATAAAGTCCTCCTATACAAAGGGAGTAACTAATCCCACTCTTCCTAAAGTAGAAGATAGTTCTTAGATTCCTAAGTTACTACCCTGAAATCTTGGTTACCCCCTCCCCCCCAAAAACATGTGTTTCACACAGGATTACAAGTTTAACATTGTAAGAGTCAGAATCAAATTCCCCAATAAATAACTGCTATCTTAAAAAGAAAAATAAATTTACAAGCTACCATTTTTAATTTAACCTAAGACACTACCAATTGTTAAGATGCACCATATGTATCACTAAGAAAAAACACTGCCCATTAAACTATGACACAATGCTTTCATATCACAGAAAATGTTTATATTTATTGAAACAGCGCTTTGAGTTAAACAGATTTTTATCACATCAATCTTGTGCATATGTAAAGAAAATGTGTGAAATAAATTGGTTAAGTTATAATTATAACTTCATATTCTGAATCCAACTCTTCTGAATCACTTTTCAAACCACAGTCATTGATGTCTGCATTTTTCCACAGAACGTCTCTCCCGGTGTTGTCAAGAGTACTGGTTATGCAGCACTTCTTGAAAGAGTGCTCCAACACTGTCTTCTGTTTAATGGCAGTGGGGAGCTTGGGACAAAACGATGTTTGATGCCTTAATGATAGTCCTGCTCGACGCATGAATCGGTCACACCAGCCTCTTGTGGCTTTGAATTTTGTTTCATCAATTCCTAGGGTTTTGGCAACTTCTCCTGCCTTCAATTGCATTGCTTGGCGTGTGATAGGCAATCCTTTTGCACGTGTCTCACTGACGAAACGTAGTACAGCTTCATCTACTTGTGGGTACCTACCTTTCTTAGGTCCCGTAAAACATTTTGTTGTTGCTTTGCAGGAAAATATGGAATTGCGATCATTTCTCCAGCGACGAATATTTGCTTCACTAATATCAAATGTACGCCCTGCTGCTCTGTTTCCATGCTTTTCTGCATACACAATAACTTTTCGTTTCAATGCTGAATCATAGTGTGATCTTTTTGAAGACATTTTAAAATGTCAATTAAACCTGACACATTTGATACCAACAAAACACATGTTGGTTAAAGGGATGACACGATGACAAGCTGTAAATTCACACATGCACACGGTAGGAGCGTTACATGACTATCACCTGGTTGACAGTAATGAGATGCATCCCAATTTCAGATAAGTTAAAATGGGAAGAAAAATGTACATTTTAGGGCTAACAAAATATGGTTTTTCAAGCCTTTAATGTTTACCAGATCTGCACCAGTGCAAGAAAATAAGCCCAAAAGCCAAGGAATAAGTGTATAAGTAGAAAGCTGGTGAAACAAAAGATTATCTTTAAGATGAAATTTATAATAGTCCAATTTGGTTTCAGTTCCCTTTATTTTTATATGGCTTACATGTAAATCTTTTTTAAAATTCGACTTAAAATCCAATACAAATGTTCTTCAGTCATTAGTAAATTTCAAAGCGAAGTCAGTAAAAGACAGAAGCTGGCAACTGCCTTTTCATCCTTCACAAGTACAGGACTATGTCAGGGGTCTGTGGCCTTCATCAGCAGGTGCCCTCCTTTGGCGAGCGGATCTGATTCTGTGTGGAGAGGAGGAAGTGTCTTCTTCAGTTTCAGACCCTGAAGGCTCATGATCTCCCTCTTGGGATCCTGTGTCTCCCACCAGTTCCCGGAGAAACTTGAATTTTGATAAAAAAAGATGCCATACAAAATACCAACCTACAGAGAAAGACAAAAACATTAAGAAAAGTTATTACACACAATGTTATCAATTCAGAATGTTACAGTTAATGGGGGGTATATTACAAAATACTATATAAAAATATACATAATTACAAATATATAATGATATAACAAACATTTTTTGTACAAGGAATGAGGATAAACTCTGGGATTACAGTAATGACAAAAACAGTCTCTACCCTCATAGAATTTAGAATTCGGGCTGAGTCTATCTACAGTAAAATCATAATGAGTTTATGATATCTAAGTAAAAGTGTTACTTATACTAAAATCAAATTTTTGAGAGCATTTTTCTGGGAAAGAAAGAATTCACTTTGCCATTTACTTGGACTTTCATATCTCGGTGCTATTTATTTACTAAAAGCAAGTTTGTTTCGATCAGAATCCATAAGGCCTTAAACAGCAGGACTTAACTGCACTATGATGAAAACTACTCAGTCAGGACCAAGCTATTCGTAAGTTTCTGGAAATAATTTTTCAAAGAAAATACATTTTCTTAAATTATATGATGAAAGACTAAAGCCACGGCACCAATATCTTAGATTCAAGATGTTTAAAACACAGATTTTTAAAATACGATATTTTCACATCAATGTCATTAAAAAGTATGACTAATTCTCTTTTAACAAAAAAAAAAAAACAAGTTTTGTTTTTGCAAGGAGTAGTAAAGGTTTTTAAATGTTCGCTAATAAGGAACAAACATTAATCAATAAAGGAACACACAGGAGAAAACCTCTGAACCTATGCTTGGTTGCTCTAAAATGTTAAGAGCATAAAATTAACTAACTTAACCACGCTAACAAGGTTTTTCATGCTTACGTGTTTTCTTGATGCTGTCTACTTTAAAGACTCTGGTTGCATAGAATAGAAATGAAACACAGCATATTTTGTGAAAACAAAATACAACCAGCTTTTCTAGCCGTGTTAATCCAGGCCAAGATAAACAGATACGTAAGGGGAGTTTCTAATTTTACTTGTTTTTTTTCTTACTATCTCTGGAAAAAAAATTACTATAAACCCCTTGACACTAAAGACAAACTTCGGAGATTTAATCCATTTCTCAAGTTTTTGCTTTAAGCTTGAGTGCTGAGTGTTACCTGAACCAAATCACAAATATTTTTTGGTCAACTGTGTGTTTGAGTAAAGCACCCAACTTTGTAAAATATTATTTTAATGATATTCCAAATTAGCATCTTCTCTCTTTACCCAAAATTCTGTGTAAAACAGGCAGAGCGAATTAGTGGAAAGAACACCAAGGAAGAAGTCAGGAGTTCCAGTTCTGACAGAATATTCACAAAGCTATAGTGAGGAATGAATGAGAAGGTATCAAAAGGGCTTAGGTGCCTGGCATTAGGCATTTTCTAAAATGCTCAATTGATGTCAGTTGTGGTTGTCCATAGGCAGTGGGATCTGAGGTATCTTCTGTTGAGTTTTTAAATTGAGATGTAATTCGCATACCCTAAAATTCATCCTTTTAAAGTATACAATTCCGTGTTTTTTAGTATATCCACAAGATTGTACAACCGTCACCACTACTGAAGTCCAAAACATTTTCATCAACCCCAAGAGAAACCTCATACCCATTAACAGTCACTCCCCATCCCTGCTCCCACTTGCCCCTGGCAACCTCTAATCTACTCTCTGTCTCTATGGATTTGCCTATTCTGAACATGTCATTTTAATGGAATCATACAATACGTGGCCTCTGTGTCTGGTTTTTCAAACTCAGCCCATGTTTCCAAGGTGTGTCCATTGTGTTGTAAGCATCAGTACTTCATTTCTTTTTATGGTTGAATAATATTCAATTTTATGTATATATTACATTCTGTTTAAGGATTCATCAATTGATAGACATTTAGAAGTTTCTACTTTTGGCTATTATAAGAAACAAAGTTGCCACTTTTTGACTGCAATGAATATTTGTGTACAAGTTTCTCCATGGACATATGTTTTCATTTATCTCGGGTGTATCTATCTAGAAGGGAATTGCTGGGTCATATGGTAACTCTGTGTTTAAACACTTGTGAAACTGCAAAGCAGCTTCAACACTTTACATTCCCACCTGCAATGTATGAGGTTCCAATTTCTCTACATCCTCGCCAACACTTTTTATTGTCCATCTTTTTTATTACAGGACTCCTAGCAGGCATGATGGTATATCACGAAGCTTTGATTTGCATTTCCCTCATGACTAATGATGTTAAACATCTTTTCATGTTCTTATTAGCCATCTGTTATCTTCTTTGGAGAAATATCTATTCATTTCTTTTGCTCATTTTTTAAATTTAGTTGCTTGTCTTTTTATTATTGAGTTGTAAGAGTTCTTAGTATATTCTAGCTATTAGATGCTTATCAGGTATATGATTTGCAAATATTTTCTCCCATTCTGTGGGCCGGCTTTTCACTGTCTTGAAAAAGTCCTTTGAAGCACCTAAGTTTTTGATTTTAAGGAAGCCTAACGCATCATTTTTTCCTTTGTTTGCTTGTACTTTGGATGGCATATCTAGGAAACCACTGACCAATCCTACGTCATGAAGATTTACATCTATGTAGTTCTTCTAAGAGTTTATAGTTTTGCTCTTAGATGTAAGTCTTCAATCCAGTTTTGTTAATTTTGGTATAAGAGAGGGGTCCAAATTCATCCTTTTGCATGAGGAAATCAAGCTGTTCCAGGATCATTTGTTGAAAAGATTATTTTCCCCCACTATTATATTATCTTGGCACCTTTGTCAAAAAACAATTGGCCATAAATGTTACAGTTTATTTCTGGACTCTCAATTCCATCCCATTAACCTGTATATGCCTATCATTATTCTAGTTGCATACCATGTTGGTTACAGTAGCTTTATACTAAGTTTAAAAATCAGGAAATGTGAATACATCAATGTTCTTTTTCAAGATTGTTTTGACTATTCTGAGTCATTTCCATGGGAATTTTAGAATCATCTTATCGATTTCAGTAAAAAAAAAAAAAAATGGCATCAAGAATTTTGACAGGGACTGCATTTAATCTGCAGATCAATTTGGAGACCCACCTTGTTTTTTTAAAAAAATATATTTCTCTGTACTTACCAAATTTTTCCACAATGAACAAAACATGGCTTTGGTAATTGGGATAAATAAGAAAGAAACTGGTAAGATAAATCATGAATAGTCTGTAGACTTATATTTTGTAAATACCTCAATGCCATTAATTGGCCTAAATTAACATGGTCAATTGACTTCAACAAATACTAAGGAAAACTTCTCTTAACTCTTAGGTTAGACTCAAAAATGTAACTTAAAAGAACTCACTTGATCACTTGTAATATCTTGTAATATTACAAGAACTCACTTGTAATATCTAAACAGATATTACAGTGGTAAATTTACTATCAGAGAATTATAATCTTTCTAAAAACTGATAGTTTTGATTTCATTAAAACCAAAGATTCCAACAGTGGCTACAATGTATAAAATGACCATAAAGAAGAGTGAGGAAGTCTTTTGACTGAAAAGGCTATGATAAAGGGCCTCACCAGTGGGGTTCCTGCCATAAAGTACTATAGTGCTCTTGGGATGGTTAAGAAAGAGTAAGTCTCTCAGCACAGAAATCTACAAGGTAAGGAACTAAGGACAGCTGTAGCTTTCAGAGGCTTGGAATACAAGAGCATTCAGCTAGATCACAGACTCTCTCTTCCCCAATTTTAGTAAGAGGAATCAAAAAAATATTTTTGGTAATCACTGCCAGCAGCCAATGTAAGGGATTCAATCTCAAGTCAAAATTCAGAACCAGAATGTGGTATCAATGAGAAAAACTCTAGAGTTTGGAGAGGCAAGTTATGGCTACTATCACCACTCCCCTCCCCACCCTGGCCAGCTGAGCCACTCCAATTCCACACTGCTGTAATTTTTATCCTCAAATCTGGAGAGAGGTAAGCTTGAACAGTATGCATTTTTCTCCCAATTCTGTCTGGGTATAGGCTGTGTGAGGGCTGGGGGAAAACATGTAGTAGTTACACTGTTTCTCACAAAACACTGTGAGGTATGGAATTCCCCTAATATAACTAGGGAGCTCATCTACTGGGCAGCCAAAAAGAATAAACACCCAGTTGTTGTTGTTGTTGTTGTTTTTTTTTTTTTTTTACAATGACTACTGTAATGATAGGTTGGGAGTACAAAGGAAAGAGATAAATTGTAGTTTAGATAAGAATTGCAGTAAATTCACTAAATTGAGGAAAGTTCAACAAGTTGTCCTCCAAGTAAAATGACTAAGTTCTTACAGAGGTGTAATTTTGGGGACAGACAGGAGGAGGACAGGAAGACAGGGTGTTTCCATATCATAATACTTAGGACTAGTAAGATCTGATACTTCTACCACAGGCTGTTTATCAAAGAGTGTTCATAGTCTGAACAAAGGATGAGACTAAAAATGCCAGGTAGTCTCAATGGGAAAACGACACATGACACATCTGTTTTGAGGGAAAAAACCATTATTAAAGCCCCAAGGAATACATACCAGGAAAAGTATGACTGAGCAAAGAATAAACTAAGAAAGGTATTACTGTGCCAGATACAACTGCCAATAAGCTATTCAACTGCTATGTTAGATATGACAATAATAACAACTAGGAGGCATCACACTACCTGAATTAAAAATATACCAAAAAGCTAGAGCAACCAACACAGCATGGCACTAATAAAAAAACAGACACATAGACAAACGGAACACAATAGGGAATCCAGAAATAAATCCATGTATTAACTGATTTTTGACACAGCCACCAAGAACATTTAAGTTCCTCAAAAAACTAAAAACAGATTTACCATATGATCCAGCAGTTCTACTGTTGGTTTATACATCCAAAAGAAAGGAAATCAGTATATTCAAGAGATATCTGCATACATGCTCATGTTTATTGCAGAACTATTCACAATAGCAAAATATGAAATCAACCTAAGTGCCAGCAATGGATGAATGGATAAAGAAAATGTGGCACAGATACATAATAGAATACTATTCCGCCATAAAGAATAAAATCCTGTCATTGGCAGCAACATGGATGGAGCTGGAGGTTATTATGTTAAGTGAAATAAGTCAGACACAGAAAGACAAATATCACATCATCTCACTCATCTGTGGCAGCTAAAAAAGTTGATCTAACAGAGATAGAGTAGAATGATGGTTATCGGAGTCCGGGAAGTGTTGAGGTGGGGAGCGGATGAAAAGAGGTTGATTAGTGGGTATAAAAATACAATTAGAGAGGAGGGAGGCAGAGGAAGATGGCCAAACAGAAGCCTCCAGTGATCATCCCCCCCCCGCTCCCGGTAGCAATGCCAAATTGAACAACTATCCACACAAAAAAGCACCTCCATAAAAATCAAAAATCAGGTGAACGATCACAGTACCTGGTTTTAACATCATATTAATAAAAGAGGCACTGAAGAGGGTAGGAAAGATAGTCTTGAAATGCCTACGCTACCCTCCCTCCCCTGCCAGCAGCAGTCACATGCCATGGAAAGAGAATCTGTATGCCTGGGGGAGGGACAGCACAGTGATTATTATGGGACTCTGCACTGAAACTCAGTGCTGTCCTGTCATAGGAGAAAGCAAGACAGGACAGAACTCAGTCTGTACCCACAGAGGGAGCAGCTAGACCAGTCCTAACCATAGGGAAATTGCCCACCCCAGCAACTGGAACCTGAGTTCCAGCAAGCCCTACCACCATGGGCTAAAGTGCTCTGGGGACCTCAATAAACTTGAAAGGGAATCTAAGCCACAAGGACTAAAATTCCTAGACAAGTCCTGGTGCTGTGCTAGGATGGGCTTGGAGCCAGTGGACTTAGAGGGCACACAACCTAGTGAGACACCACCTGGGGCAACCAAAGGAATGCTTGCATTACCCCTCCTCAACTACAAGCAGTACAGCTCACAGGTCGGGGAGACACTTCTTCCCTCTGTTTGAGGAGAGGAGAGTAGACAGTGAAGAGGACTTTGTCTTGCAACTTGGGTATCAGCTTAGCCATACTAGAATAGGGCACCAAGCAGAGTCATGAGGTTGCCATTCCAGGCCCTAGCTCCCAGCTGACATTTCCAGATACACCCTGGGCCAGATAGGAACCTGCTGCCTTGAATGGAAAGACCCAGTCCTAGCAGGATGCATTGCCTGCTTAGTAGACAGCCCTTGGGCCCCAAATAGTCAACAGTGGTAGCCAAACAGTACTTACTGAGGGCCTTGAGTGAGACTCAGAGCCATGTTGGCCTCAGATGTGACCCAGCACATTCTGAGCTGTGGTGGCTATGCGGAGAAACTCTTACTCAAGGAAAGGAGAGAAAAGAGTAAAGAGAACTTTGTCTTGCAGCTTGGGTACCAGCTCAGCTACAGTGGGATAGAATACCAAGCAGCCTCCTGATGTCCCCAATTCCAGGCCTTGGCTCCTAGATGGCATTTCTGGACCTGCTCTGGGCCAGAGGGAAGCCCACTGTCCTGAAGGAGAGACTAAGTCCTGACAGCATTCACCACAAGCTAACTGAGTGATATGGCTTGGCTGTGTCCCCACCCAAATCTCACCACAAGCTGAGTTAGATATGGTTTGGCTGTGTCCCCACACAAATACTCCTATAATTCCCACGTGTTGTGGGAGGGACCCAGTGGGAGATAATTGAATCATGGGGAGCAGTTTCCCCCATACTGTTCTCCTGGTAGTGAATAAGTCTCACGAGATCTGATGGTTTTATCAGAGGTTTCCACTTTTGCGTCTTCCTCATTCTCTCTTTGCCTGCTGCCATCCGTGTAAGACAGGACTTGCTCCTCCTTGCCTTCCACCATAATTGTGAGTCTTCCCCAGCCACGTGGAACTGTAAATCCAATTAAACCTCTTTCTTTTGTAAATTGCCCAGTCTCAGGTATGTCTTTATCAGCAGCATGAAAGTGGACTAATACACTGAACCTTGAGTGAACACTGGTGGCTGGAAGACAGTAGTCCCTGTGGGCCTAGGGCAGCTGTGGCCACAAGGAAACAGTTCTCTGTTTGAGGAAAGGGAAGACTGGGAGGGATTTTGTCTTACAGCTTCGGTGCCAGCTTAGCTGCAGTAGAATAGAGAGCACCAGGTAAATTTGTAAGTTTCCCAACTCCTGGCTCTGGCTCCCAGACAGCTAGGGGAGAACTCACCCCACCCTAATGGGAAGGACAGAAGCCTGACTAGATTCACCACCTGCTGATTGTAGAGCCCTTGGGCCTTGAGCAAACGTAAGTGGCAGCCAGGCAGTGGTCACCATGAGCTTCAATCAAGACCCATTGTTATGCTGGCTTCGAGTCTGACTCAGCACAGTCCCAGCAGTGGTGGCCACAGGGGTGACTATGTTATCCCTTCCCCAGCTCCAGGCAGCTCAGCACAGAGAGACTCCATTTGTTTGGGGGAAAGTAAGGGAAGAGAACAAGAGTTTCTGCTTGCTAACCCAGAGAATTCTTCTGGATCTTACCCAAGACAACCAAGGTGGTGACTCTACAAGTCTGCAAGAGCCACGGCATAACTGGGCTTGGGATGCTTCCCAATGCAAACATGGCTACAGTGAACAAAGACTTAGGTCACAATGCCCAAGTCCCTTCCAAAACTTGGAAAGCATTCCCAAGAAGGATAGGTACAAACAAGCCCAGATTGTGAAGACCATAATAAACACCTAACTCTGCAATGCCCAGACACCAATAAACATCCAGAAGTATCAAGACCATCCAGGAAAACACGACCTCACCAAATGAACTACATAAGGCATCAGAGACCACTCCCAGAGATATGTGACCTTTCAGAGAGAGGATTCAAAATAGCTGTTTTGAGGAGGCTCAACAAAATTAAAGAGAATGAATTTGAAACCTATCAGATAAATTTAACAAAAAGATTGAAATAATTTTTTTAAATCAAGCAGAAATTCTGGAGCTGAAACTTTCAACTGACATACTGAGGAATGCATCAGAGTCTCTCCACAGCAGAACTGATCAAGCAAAAGAAAATTAGTGACCTTGAAGACAGGCTATTTGAAAATACGCAGCCAGGGCTGGGCGCCATGGCTCACGCCTATAATCCCAGCACTTTGGGAAGCCGAGGCAGGCAGATCACGAGGTCAGGAGTTTGAGACCAGCCTGGCCAACATAGTGAAATCCCGCCCCTACTAAAAATACAAAAATTAGCTGGGTGTGGTGGCACGCACCTGTAGTCCCAGATACTCGGGAGGCTGAGGCAGGAGAATTGCTTGAACCCGGGAGGCGGAGGTTGTGGTGAGCCGAGATGGTGCCACTGCACTCCAGCCTGGGCAACAGAGCGAGACTCCATCTCAAAATAAATAAATAAAATAAATGAAAATATGCAGTCAGAGGAGACAAAAGAAAAAAGAATAAAGTACATCTATAAGATCTAGAGAATAGCCTCAGAAGGGCTAATCTGAGAATTACAGGCCTTAAAGAGGAGGTAGAGAGAGAGATTAGGGTACAAAGTTTATTTAAAGAGATAACAGAGAATTTCTCAAACGTAGAGAAAAGTATCAATACTCAAGTACAAGAAAGTTATAGAACACCAAGCAGATTTAACCCAAAGAAGACTCCTCAAGGCATTTAATGATCAAACTCCCAAAGGTAAGGGACAAAGAAAGGATCCTAAAAGCAGCAAGAGAAAAGAAACAAGTAAGATACTCAAAAGCTTGAACATGTCTGGCAATCAATCTCTCAGTGGAAACCTTACAGGTCAGGAGAGGGTGGCATGGCATTTTGTTGTTGTTGTTGTTGTTGTTTTGTCTTTTGTTTTGAGACGGGGTCTCGCTCTGTCACCCAGGCTGGAGTCTGGAGTGCAATGGCACGATCTCAGCTCACTGCAACCTCTACTTCCCAGGTTCAAGCAATTCTCCTGCCTCAGACTCCCGAGTAGCTGAGATTACAGGTGTGCACTACCATGCCCAGCTAATTTTTGTATTTTTAGTAGAGACGGGGTTTCACCATGTTGGCCAGGCTGGTCTCAAACTCCTGATTTCAAGGGATCCACCCGCCTTGGCCTCCCAAAGTGCTGGAATTACAGGCGTGAGCCACCACACCAGGCCTTTTTTTTTTTTTTTTTTTAAGATGGAGTCTCACTCTGTTGCCCAGACTGGAGTGCAGTAGCGCAATCTCGACTCACTGCAACCTCTGCCTCCCTGCAACCTCCACCTCCCGGGTTCAAGTGATTCTCCTGACTCAGCCTCCGAAGTAGCTGGCCTTACGGGCGCACACCACCATGCCCAGCTGATTTTTGTATTTTTAGTAGAGATGGGGTTTCACCATGTTGGCCAGGCTGGTCTCGAACTCCTGACCTCAGGTGATCCACTGGCCTCAGCCTCCCAAAATGCTGGGATTACAGGCGTGAGCCACCACGCCCGGCCATGGCATGGCATATTTAAAATGCTAAAGGAAAAAAATTTACCCTAGAACAGTTTATCGAGCAAAAATATCCTTCAAACATGAAGGAGAAATCAAGACTTTCCCGCTAGGGGATTTAGTCAACACCAAACCTGTCCTACAAGTGATAAAAGGAGTTCTTCAACCTGAAAGAAAAGGACATTACTGATAAGAAACCACCTGAAGGTATATAAAAAGGTGCTCAACATCACTGATCATCAGAGAAATGCAAAACGAAACTACAATGAGATATCATCTCACCCAGTTAAAATGGCTTTTATCCAAAGGATAGACAATAACGATTGCTGGTGAGAATGTGGAGAAAAAAGGAACCCTTGTACAGTGCTGGTGGAAACACTGTGTACATAAATTAGTAACACCACTATGGAGAACAATTCGGAGGTTCCTTTAAAAATCTAAAAATAAAACCACCATATGATCCAGCAATCCCACTGCTAGGTATTTCCCCACCTACCCCCCTAAAAAAAGGAAATCGATATACTGAAGAGATACCTACATTCCCATGTTTACTGCAGTACTATTCACAATAGTCAAGATTTGGAAGCAACCTAGGTGTCCATCAACAGACAAATGGATTTTAAAAATGTGGTACATACACACAATGGAATCCTATTCAGCCAAAGAAAAGAATGAGATCCTGTCACTTGCAATAACATGGATGAAACTGGAGGATGTTAAATAAAATAAGCCAAGCACAGAAAGACAAACTTTGCGTGTTCTCACTTATTTGTAGGAGCTAAGAATTAAAACAACTGAACTTATAGAAAGTAGAATGATAGCTCCCAGAGGCTGGGAACGGTACTGAAGGGGCAGGGAGTGGGAATGGTTAATGGGTACAAAAACATATTTAGATAGAATGAATAAGATCTAGTATTTGACAGCACATCAGGGTGATTACAGTCAACAATAACTTACTGTACATTTATAAAAATAACTAAAAGAAAATAAAAGAATTATAATGCAAAGGATAAATGCTTGAGGTAGTGAATACCCCATTTATCCTGATGTGATTATTATGCATTGCATGCCCGTATCAAAATATCTCATGTACCCCATATATGTACCTACTATGTACCCACAAAAATAAAAAATACATACAATAATGTATTGTATATTTCAAAATAGCTAGAAGATTTGAAATGTTTCCAACACAAAGAAATGATAAATGTTTGAGGTGATGGATATGCTAAATACCCTGCTTTGATCATGGTAAATTATATGTATGTATTGAAATATCATATATACTCCATAAATATGTATGATTATTATGTAACAATAAAAATAATAACAGCTAACTTTTAAAACTCTGGGATAAGAACTGTAAGAAAATGCTTTGCACATATCATCTAATGGCCAAATTGTTATTCAGTTTAACTAAACTGTTCTGTCATACACTTCTGGTATGCCACACTCCTTGCTGCTAATAGGGCTCAAAATCTATTCATCTATGGTATTGGTAATCATCTTATGACAAATATAACACGAAATAGAAAGTCACACACATAGTTCATCTCTTGTTATTTTAATAAAGCAGCTTTTAGTTCAAGTTAGAAAATTCCAAAGACTTAGCTTAAACAAAAAAAGGGGAATTTACTAAAAGCTACAGAGGTGTCTGAGAGAGCACGGGAGGAAGCGCCCTTACGAGGGACAAGCACTAGGAGAAGGTTCTCGTGAACTGAGGTCATTTGCTCAGCATTATCTGTTTCTCTCTGCACAGCGGCTCCATTTTCCTCTACGCTTCTCTCTGTAGATTGCTCCTCCTCCCCCCAGCTTTCTAAAACACAAACCTAGAAAAAACACAACGTAGAATCTCTGCCCTAAACTGAATTCAAGTGTCAGCCCCAGGAGCAGGTACAGTGAACATGGATATAGGGCCTATCCCTGAGAGGACATGGATGTTTTTATTTATTTACTGTAGAGATAGGGTCTTGCTTTGTTGCCCAGACTGGTCTCAAACTCCTGGTTCAAGTGATTCTCCCGCCTTGGCCTCTCAAGGTGCTGGGATTACAGGTGTGAGCTGCCACTCCCAGCTGACATGGGTGTTTTTTGAGATTTAAGAGGGGAGTAGAGGGAACAGCCTGGAAAAAGATCCCCAGTAATGATATCTCCTCTACCTTTATTAGACAATAGGCTCTTGGAGGACAGCCTCTATCACAGGAGCCACCCCAAAAAAAAACCCAGACAGGCAATTATTTTGTTAGATAATGTCTAACCAAAACTTTTAATCTTCTTGGAATCTGCCTCAATTCCTTTAAAACACAGGCCTGACCTTTGATAAAGGTCCACACTGCAAAAAGTCCTCCACCTCTAGAGCAGAGGAACTACTTAGTCAGGGCAAGGTGGGGTCACAAGAAGATAGGCCTGACCTTTGGTCCATACTGCAAAAAGGTCACAGGCCTGATCTTTGGTCCACACTGCAAAAAGGTCACAGGCCTGACCTTTGGTCCATACTGCAAAAAGGTCACAGGCCTGACTTTTGGTCCACACTGCAAAAAGTCCTCCACCTCTAGGGCAGAGGAACCACTCAAAGTCGGAGCAAGGTAGGGTCACAAGAGGATAGGATTCATATTTTCCCTTTCAGGGAAAGGAACACCTGTAAAAGTAAGGCAAGTTCAGAATTATTATCCAGTGGAACGATTCTAGTTAAAGGTATGTGATTATCACACTGCACCTTTCATAAGAGGGATCATTCGAACTTCAAAATCTGCTGAGGAGTTTTTAGAAAACACAGATTGCCAAGAGCTCATCCCAGATATCCCAAAATCAATCTCCAGGGATTGTGCTTATTCATTTTTTTTAAGCTCCCTAGAATGATTGCGATGGACATGCAGCCTTGGAAAAGACAAAAAGCAGTGAAAAAGAAGCATGAGTGCTGCTGCCAGTGAATTGTGGAGACTGGCCAAGGAAAAGAAGAAAAAGATTAGCAGTGGGGTGCCCATGGGGGATAGACAGAACAACAGTTGACTACAGAACCTGAGAAGACTCCACTTGAGAAAAGGCAGCTTAATGCAAAAATCAGTATTTACTAGTGAGACGGTGTAGGTATGTATGTAAGGGGAGCAACAAAGAAACTGGCCAGACATTGCTGATGAGTGGAGCAATGCTGCAGGAGGACCATGGATATGATGACCAACATAATGGATAGTCAGAAGTGGACATAAAGAATGACTGTATCTTGCTCCAAGTAGAATTGTATTATGTCTGGTTAATAGAATGTTTAATACAGCACTTATGCATTCAGAACTCGTTCTCTTTTATACAATGAGTGGAAGAGAAGACAAGTGCAAAGTTATGTAATAGAAAATAAAGCATCACCCTTTACATGATATTGGTAAGAGAGCACCAAATAACAGCAGAGGGGTGTGTATGCAGGTGTGTGTGTTGGGAGGGGGAGAGGCACCTGTATAACCATAAATATAGACCAACCTAATCCGGACTCTGGGCCCTAATGACTAACTTCTCCCAGGTGAGCATATGTATTTTGGGGGACAGGGGAATGAAGGAAGTAAAACCACTAAAACCCAGGCAGCCTTCTTCTGAAAAAGACTTACCCATTGCACCCTGCATGCCTACAGCGGACTTCTAACAGAAGTATAGCTTATACAATTCCCAGACCCAAAGTGCACATATCAGAAACTTCTTAACTCTTATTCTATGGGCATGGGTCTGGAACCATGTCCTGGGATTTAGTAAGACAGAAACAGTAGAGAGTGAAAGAAGAAAGGAGAGGTGAGGGGCAAAGTACAGTCCACAATATACTGATTGTTAAGATGGGTTTTGCAGTTTTTCAGCTTAAAAGGAAGTTTATGTCTTGCTTCAGTATCGCATTGTATGCCAGAATAACTAATCAGCAATAGAGGGTGTGTATTCTGAGATAGGCAAAAGAGCACTCACTTCTGTGTGCCAATAACTAAGCATTTGTTCAAATGATGAATTTCATGAAACACACTGTAAATTGTTTTCTATGTAAGATAAACATGCTGGCAGCAGAAGGGTTGTGATAGATGAACTTGAGTGATGAACCATCACTATCAACACACCACAAACCCAGGGGAGAAGTGTAATTTCACCTTCAATTACACAGTTATCAGTTCACACAGTGCTTTTACATTCAATCACTGTGCTTTTACACGACCCATCTGAATGAGACCAGCAATCATTATTCCCATTTTCTAAATAAGAAAATAAAGGCACACAGTGACTCATGACATTGGAAGACAGCCAGCTACATAAGACAGAGCAATGAATCTTAACAGCGTATCAAATTTCTCAGATTTTCATGGTGACAGTATGACTGAAACACAAAGCACTATCTAGAGAATGAGAATACGATTTTGCTACTTGCTGTAGTC